>NC_000003.12:131281331-131432846 GCF_000001405.40 Homo sapiens
GAATCTCTCTCCTGCTGCTTAAGAAATTGGTAACATATTATATACATTTTGTCTCCTTTATTTAGTAATATATGCTGGAGCACAGTAGTATATGGCAATATTCTTCACTTCTTTTTACAGCTTCCAAGTTCTCCTCTGTGTAGATGTACTATTGTTTATTCAACCTGTAACCTAATGACGGACATACGAGTATTTGCAGTCTTTCGCTAGTACGAATAGTGCTGTAATTAATAGCCTTGCACATTCAGGGTTTTTTGTTTGTTTTATTGCCAATGTATCTTTGAGATAGATTTCTAGAAGTGAGATTGCTTAGTTAGAGAATAAATGCATACATAATTTTGGTAGGTATTTCCAAATGCCACTTTGCATTCCCACCAGCAAAGTATGAGAGTGTTGTTTCCCCACAAAGTACGTTATCAAACTTTTGGAGTTTATTCTGCCTGTCTGTCTGTCTGCCTATCTATCTATCCATCCATCCATCTATTGTATATCTACTTTTGTCTTTTATAAATGTAGTATTTCATTGTGTGGTCTATTTTACTTGCTTTTGGTATATTTTTTGGAATTTAGGAAGCTATATTTTCATGTCTTACAGCAAACACACTTGAGATTAAAGTGCACAAAATGTCCCCACATCTAAATTTGGAGTGGAAGGGAAGAAACCACTTTTAGCCTCAGGTTTCAGCTGAGATATCCAACACAGCTTTCCAGAAACCTTGCTTACTGGGAGTCAAATGGTGTTGCTTGCAAAGATTAATAAAAGCGATACTTTTTTTTCTCATTTAGCTATTTAGCCAGAGATTTTTGTTTAAATTATCTTAATGAGGAGTAGGGGTTTGTGGTGTTCTAAATCTCTAATATCTAGGAGGAATCACCTTTCCAGGGCTGCTGATTTTGGTGTCATCAGTTTTAGATTATTAATGCCTAGAGATCAGACATTAGTCTGGCATTATTAATGCCATAGAGATCAGTGTAGTGACATGCACATCATGCCCAAGTGGACATTGCTTCTCCTATATGTGGACATTGTGTTTATAGTATTTATAGAGGAAGATGAGGGGTAAGGTGATCTTCTTCATAGAACTGTCTCATGCCCTGGTATATTGAATGGCTACCACAGTGCATGCCACTGCTGATGGTCAAAACAGGTTTCTGTATTTTTGCATCTGTGTCATAGATGCCTGTTCTCCTCCCCAGGTCAGAGCACAGCCCTGGTATAGTGCTGCCGTGAGGGCTGAAGTCAACTATTTAGAGGCTGCAGAAGGCACAGGGATTTTCTATAAATAACAGTGAGGTCAGACCTCATAACTGATTCAGTCTCAGATAGCCGGTTCACAAGTTCTTGAAATTTCTCCTTCACTTTCAATCACAGGAATATCTTGACAGGAAGATCTAAACAGAACATGAGAAGTCCATGATCTTTATTGTCCTTCTTGTTAACCTGATATATAGCTCATGGTACAGTAGCAATCACTTGTAAAAATGATGGTGAGACATTAAGCACTTGCTAAAAATGTTCCTAAGATAGGGTAGTAACATGAAGTTTATAATCGTACCAGCTCAGATTTTGAACTGGACCAAAGCCATAGCAATGTTTATATGGAGGGAAACTAACTTTCAATGCATGCCTCCTTTGTGCCAGGGAGTGTGCTAAGACACCTTCTGTTTCCTGAAGTTCTCACCATATACCTGTGAGGTGCGGAGGATTCTCCATTTTATAGGTAAAGAGTTTGTATTTCAAGAGGTGAAGAAACCCTCCCATTGCCATATAGCTAGTAAGTGGCAAGGCTACACTTCAAATAGAAGTGTAGTTAATTCTAAAACCAGAGCTGGAAAGTACTGCCAAGATGAGATGGGAACAGTGGGAGCTGAGTGATGCTAAAGTCTAGATCTCATCAGGAACTCTAAAGAAGCCTCTTAATTACCACAGGCCTTTTATGTACCTGGCATCATGCTCTGGAACCTATTTGTTTTCATTTGGTAGCCATAAGTACAAACCAACTCACCTTAGAGATGCAGAAGCTGTGATTCAAAGAGGTTAAGTTAAACACCCAAGACCAAAGCTGGCTTCTAGGGTTGGTCTGTCTGCTGTCATATTTTATGCCCTTTCACATGCTTTTCTGAATTGGCAGGTATTGGTATTTGTATTTTGACAGCATCTCATTCTCTGAGCTCAGGCTATTACTGTGTGTGTGTGTGTGTGTGTGTGTGTGTGTGTATCACTAGAATGTACTATTTTACTATTTCAAGATTTCCAAGTGCTTTATGAACAAAGCTCATTCTGTTTCACTGATTGAAGTAACCCTTTAATGGAGAAACAGATGCAGTGATGGTTCTTTTCTCATTCCTTTTCCAAATCTCATTGAAAAAGTGCTAGTTGTACCTCCAACATTCCCTTTTTAAAATAAAAGGTCAGTATCAGGCAGTGTTTCTGAAGAAACTGCTGATTGAAATCAGCATTTCAATTTCAAAACAACAAAAGTTTGTACGTAACAAAAGCTTGGTAATCAGCAAATAAGGGTTCCTTACCCAAAGAGTAGTGGTTCTAAATTTATATGTCGGTTTTAAGAGATCCTTTAAAGAGCCTGTCAGACCTCTTACTCAGCTGTCTCAAGGCCTGGAAGCAATTAATTGAATTCTTCTTGAGAGTCTGTTAGGTGTGAGGCATTGTGCTTTGGGGCATAGAACAAAAAGACACCTTACAACCTAGCTAGGGAAACCGGACACCTGTAAGTGTGATTTACAAGACTGAGGGCAAATGCCAGGAGCCACTGGAGTGGAGCCAGCACTCTGGAAGTTCAGAGGAGGAGGCCCATCTCTTATAAAGGAGTGAGCAGATTCATGCACTTCTCCCTGAAATGGACCTGTTGTATTTGTTTCCCTGCTCCAGGAATGACTTATCATCTTTCTCTGAAGCGGAGGTTCACTAGCATAACTGTAGCCCAGATGTCAGCCAGCTTGTCCCTGCCTCTCCAGATCTAGGCAACTTTGACTTAAGCCCTTAGGACATGCCCTATGGTAGCTCAAAGCCTTTCCTAAGACTTCTACAAACTCTTGGGTGCTGTGATGATCTCATCCTCTGGGCTTCTGTCTCTATTGTCCCCATTCTGACCCATATTGATGCAGAGTGAAAAATCTAGGCTTTTAATTCATTTTCCCCAATACTCCCTGTGATGGTTAAGTGAGTGTCAACTTTATTGGATTGAAGGATGCAAATCCAGTCAAGGGTGTGTCTGTGAGGGTGTTGCCAAAGGAGATTAACATTTGAGTCAGTGGACTGGGAGAAGCAGACCTACCCTCAATCTGGGTGGGCACTATCTAATCAGCTGCCAGCATGGCTAGAATAAAAGCAGGCAGAAGAACGTGGAAGGACTAGACTGGCTGAGTCTTCTGACCTTCATCTTTCTCCCATACTGGATGCTTCCTGCCCATCAGACTCCAAGTTCTTCAGCTCTTGGACTCTTGGACTTACACAAGTGGTTTGCCAGGGGCTCTCAAGCCTTCGGCCACAGACTGAAGGCTGCACTGTTGCCCTCCCTACTTTTGAGATTTTGAGACTCGAACTGGCTTCCTGGCTCCAGATGGCCTATTGTGGAACTTCACCTTGTGACTGTGTAAGTCAATCCTCCTTAATAAACTCCCTTTCATATATACATCTATCCTATTAGTTCTGTCCCTCTAGAGAACCCTGAAAAATGTACTCCTATTCATCCAAATCTTCTGTGAGTACACTTGACTTTTTTGAAAATTTGAAAGCTAGCAATAAAAGCCTCATGTCACAAGGACATAAGCAACTTCAAACTAATCATTAGGCATCCCTGTTCTTTAAAAATGCTCTTTAGCAGGTGGGCCCATTGGAAAGGAGGCTCTGAGATGATTTTCATGTGGAAAGGTTTCTGGGGATGGCCAGCTCTCTGGATCCATTTATATAGGGGCAAGGAAGGAAACAGGAGTGGGTAGAGAGAGAAGGTGGGCTGTGGTACCATCTCAGCAAGGCCTGGTCAACAGCACAGGGTGCACTGAAGTTGGGATGGCCTTGCAGAGTTCATTGAGGGGGCTGAGCTCAAGAGCCCTGCGTCTACCAGTCACTCACTGCAGGAATGCAGGAAGGGCATGAGCCCTGATGAGGCAGTTCTTGAGCTGAGCTCAGCTGAGGGCAATTCTTCAAGAGGGCTGATGGCTGAAATCTGTCTCCCAAGGGCACTCCAAGTAGGTGGAGAATAAAACTTCTCTATTTTGAAAAACAGTCTTCATCCCCAGCTCCATTTCAGTTTTCTGGCATCTCTCACTTTCCCACGTTTCTCAAGAGCAAAACAAACTTTTCTCATGCGGGCACCTGAGTCATTCTTCTGCTTCTTTACTAATAACTATGTCCTCAGGCTTTCATCTTTCTTCACAAAAGTCATCCTTGCCTATTGTTTTCTAAATAAATAATTTCTGTGTGTGCACGCATGTCTGTGCCAGCTGATGCTTAACACATTTGTACCCTAATTCCATTTGCTCCATTTCAGTAATGATGGGAAGCATCAGAGAGATAAATCGCTATAATGAGAACAATGTGGATTTTAGGACCTGAACAATCTGGGTTTGCAACTTGGCTACTTTTACTCTGTGGTCTTAGACAAGTCCCTTTACTTCTCAGAGCCTCAGTTTCTTCACCTGTACAATGGAGGAATAATTAAAAATAGCACTATATTGTGTATTAAGTGGTCACCCAATAAATACCATCCCTTCTACCCCTCTTTCTTGGCCACTTCAATTGCCATTCTGCAGGCCCTGACTTTATGAGTTAGTGTCTCATTGACTATGAAAATATTTGTTCTGTTAGTTTTTTCACTACACAAATTTGAAATCCTGCTTCCAAGCAAACAATCCTAAAGCAGACCCATTAGCTCTTATCAACTGCAAAACAGATGGCCAGGGTTGGGGTGTAGGGGGCATGTGGGAGCAGAGTTCAAGGACTTCTTGGGCAGTATTTATGTTCATAGTGCCAAGGCTTCTTCAGTGTTCCTAGTAGCTCCTGTTTACTCTTTCTTGTTCATGTTTCTTTTTTCTTCTTAGAGCTGTAAGTAAACTATGTTACATGTATTTGATTTCCATTATGACCATGCCTGAATTGTAGTAAAGTGTACTTTTCCCAGCTGAGGGCTAGATATTTTTAAACAATTAAGCATGTTTTATGATAAAATTAAATAAATGGATACAGCTGTTCCTATAGTATTTTGAAATATCTATATTATATTATTCATTGTTGAAAACCCTAAACACCACCAGGTACTACAGGCTAAGCAGGAAGTTTTGTTTTTATTTCTCTATCATTGAGTTTTGCCTAATAGTTTTCAAATTGCCAAATTAGAAAAAGGAAGCATGCAACATGAACCTTTCAATTCTCAGGATAAACTGCCATATCTGGACTTCCAATGCCTGGGATCTCAGAAAGGAGGCAAGTTTACTCTGACAGTATGGTATGAAGATATTGACAAAAAAAATTTACAAAGAGATTATTTTGGATTCTTGATAAGGTGGGGGTAGAATCAAGGAGTTTCACCTGTCCTTCATTAAGACCCTTGGGGTGTGAGGGGCACATGCAGGTAAGTCACCCTTGTGCAACATGAATGCACAAACAGAGCGGCCAGAAGCACTCTGGGTAGAGTCAGGTGCAGAATAATGGGCAAAACCTTAGAAAAACTGGAAGAATATTAGAGCCCTAGTATTGCCCACTCCATATGAAATAGCAGTTTTTTTCTGTCCATCTGTGCCCATGGAAGCTGGACTGCAGGGAAAGGTAATCTCATAGGAGCAGGCATGCTCTTTGGTGCAGCCAAGGATTGTTCAGCAGACACAGAGATCCCTGCCTCCAGAACAAGAGGTAAGGGTGTATCATGGGAATGGGACCCATGGCCCACTTTATCTGTTTCAAGGATGGTCCAAAGATGTTTCTTTGTTTGTTTGTTTGTTTTCAGACAAGGTCTCACTCTGTCATCCGGGCTGGGGTGCAGTGGTGTGATCTCAGCTCACTGCAACCTCCGCCTCCTGGGTTCAAGCAATCCTCCCACCTCAGCCTCCTGAGTAGCTGGGATTACAGGCATGCGCCACCACGCCTGGCTAATTTTTACATTTTTAGTAGAGATGGGGTTTCGCCATGTTGGCCAGGCTGGTCTCGAACTCCTGACCTCAGGTGATCCACCTGCCTCGGCCTCCCAAAGTGGTGGGATTACAGGAGTGAGCCACTGCGCCCTGCCAAAGATCTTTGTTTCAAGCCTACTTGTATCTAAGATTTTTAAGGCCCCGGGGATATCTGAATTATAAGAGTATCTCAGAAATGCTATCCTCCCTCTATCAACATGGGAAAGGCTGTGGATTTGACCTACTTGCCACAAGTCCTTCAACCCTCCAGATGCCAAGCTGAGCCAGCCCACCTTGGTCTAACTCCAGAGCATTCTGATTTGTGCTTCCTCGTGGCATCTCAGCCCTTGGAGAACGCTATTATACCAGTAATATTATGTAAGGAAGGCTGAGATTTTGGTTTGCCTTAACATTCTCCACTTCATCCCAGGGGTATCCCTTTCTCTGGACATGATATAGATTTACATGCATTCCATGTTCCTGCCATAGAAACTATCATGAGTTCTTTGCTGTCCAATATTCATAAAAAACCTGGTGGCAAAAATTCATATTCATAAAGGTTTGCTGGAAAGATGTGACCACCACCAATTTCTCCCCATCTTCTAAATCTTACTACTGAATCCACCCATTTCATGACCATGACATTTAAGGGGAGAGAGGTCTCCTCTGCCCACTTGCTCTCACTCCCAGTTGTTTGTCCTGAGTGTGTTCTGATTTCATGCTGTTGATTTCAATTAAGGATATGACAAGAAATATTGTCACCTTCTGTATCATGCCATGTTTTCAGGTCTTCCTCCTCCACATTGCAATGTTCTCTTTCTCTGCTGCCTTAGTATCTGGGAAGCTGTTTTTCCTGAGTAGCAGGTTTGTTTTTAATCCTAGGGTTTGAGTTGGTGAGCATACTGATCATCTTTTCTGCTTTGGCCACTAGGAATCATAGAATCAAATTTACCTCTGTCTTCGAAGATTATATGGTATGCATTTCTTTCTTTCTTTTTTTTTTTTTTTTTTTGAGACGGAGTTTCACTCTTGTTGCCCAGGCTGGAGTGCAATGGGGTGATCTAGGCTCACCACAGCCTCCGCCTCCCAGGTTCAAGCGATTCTCCTGCCTCAGCCTCCTGAGTACCTAGGATTATAGGCATGCACCACCGTGCCTGGCTAATTTTGTATTTTTAGTAGAGATGGGGTTTCTCCATGTAGGTCTGACTTGTCTCGAACTCCCGACCTCAGGTGATCCACCCGCCTTGGCCTCCCAAAGTGCTGGGATTACAGGCATGAGCCACCGCGCCCCGCCTATATGGTATGCATTTCTGTGTTAATCTTACTCTTAGATTATGACTTTCCTGACTTTATTTTTCCTCTACCCTGATTTCAACTAATTAGTTTAATGTTTTGTATAGTATAATATATGTTCTTTTAGGCTTCCTCAAATGCTTTGTGAAATGCAAGGGTAGATAGTAATAAATAAATTGCAGAACTATAAAACGGAGATTAAAAACATTCCTTTCCCCTCCCAGATTAAAGCTACTCATCAGAACTCATCAGAAAAATCAGGTGTATTAGTCTGCTCGGGTTGCCATAACAAAGTACCATAACCAAGTTGCTTAAACAACAGAAATATATTTTCTGACAGTTTTGAAGGCTGGAAGTCCAAGATCAAGGTGCCAGCAGGTTTGGTTTCTCCTCAGGGCTCTCTCCTTAGCTTACAGATGGCTGTCTTCTTTCAGTGTTCTCATATGTCCTTTTTTCTGTGTGGACCCACATCCCTGGTGTCTCTGTGAGTTCAAATTTCTTCTTATAAGGACACCAGTCAGATTAGATTAGGGCCCACAATAACAGCCTTGTTTTAACTTAATCACCTCTTTCAAGCCCTGGTCTACAAATATACAAATATTCAGAGGTAATGGGAGTTAGGACTTCAACATATGAATTTGGGGGATACACAGTTCAGTCTATAACATAAGGTGTTTTTATTATCTGTGGTGGAAGGACTTTCTTACAGGCCCTTTTCTCCCTTGGTCATGAGGGATAGGTATGAGTGTTTGGAAGGCACTTGCACAGACCATGGCAGTAGCATCAAATGCCTTCCAAAGGACCTCCACCTGTAGAACAGAGGTGACTGACGGGATTTGGTTTGTAACCTTTTTTGCTTAGTGTCACCTGTGACAGATAAAGAGGACAAGCCTTATGCTCTCCCATTAGAAATTTTTGTCCACTCCTGTGCCTAGGTCTCAGGTTCTAGGTGGTGTACAGTTCCAGACCTGCCAGCAGCATCACAGCTTGTATCTCAGCAACAACTGGTCCAGGGCACACCTGACTTTCACACAGATTATTCTCAGGATGGTCTGTTATCACCCAGAGGTTCTTGATAAGACAAACCCAGTGCTACTGACTTCACTATCATGGTGCAACACAGCTTGGAGAAATGGGAAAAAGCAGGCCCATCTTTGCCTTACCTGTCATCCAAAGATGGAGACAGAACTCTGATTTCTTAACATTATCTCTGCAAGTCAAAGTGTCCAAATTCTTGACACCAGCAGTTAAAACACAGGGCCTTTGATTGAAGCAGACAACTGAGTGAGTTTTCCAGGAGGTCTGAAGAAAGCCAACTCATTATCCAGGTCTCTGAACAGACAAATAATTATGAGACACTGAAATGTATTTTCCCATGCAAGTCAGAAATGGCTCAGCCTCTGTTTTGCACTGTTAATTACACTATTGGGCAGAGCCCTGTTACAGTTCTTGGTCATAGACTTACCCTTGATGCCTGGCAGCATGGGTAGGAAACTGAGCTAATGTGTGGTCCTGACTTACATCAAAATGTGTGCACCTTCACCAGTGTCAGGTCAAAAATGAGAGGCAAGAGGAATTTCAGACATAGCAGGAGTGCCTCTGCTGTTGTATCAGCTCGTAAGAGAAAAGAAGGCAGAATTATTTTGCACTGTATTTTGTCAGCAGCAATGTTCTGATCTCAAGAAATTGTGATGTTCTCCATGGTGAAAATCAGTGAACTAGCTGAGACTTGAGAGAAGCAGGGAGAATGCAGCTTACATAAGCCCAGGCTGCTACCCAGGTCAGGGGTTCTGTCTCCTTTGTCTCTTGCCAAAGTCATTGTTGACTAGACAATTGTCAATTAGTGTTCTAGGCCCAGGGATGGCCCCTGCTGCTGTCATGCTGCCAGACTCTCTGTGACCCCACCCAGCACTTGATGCAGGAGGCTTGAGACAGCTTTCAACCATGCACCTAGATTTCTACTAGTATGCCAAACTCTGTAAGATCAGATAACTGCCTACTGGAAAAATCAAGATCTTCCCTTTCTTTTTTTAAAAGGTGTCTTTAGTTTTAGGTTCACAGCAAAATTGAGAGGAAGATACAGAGATTTCCCATATATCTCCTGCCCCCACACATGCATAACCTCCCCATTATCAATGTCCTGCACCAAGATGGTACATTTGTTGCAACTGATGAACCTGCATTCATACAGCATAATCACCCAAAGTCTACAGTTAACTTTAAGGCTCACTGTTGGTGTTGTACATTCTATGGGTTTCAACCAATGTATAATGTCATGTATCCATCACTATAGTATCATACAGAATAGTTTCACTACCCTAAAAATACTCTGTACTCTGCTTAGTCATCCCTCCCAACCCCTGGCAACCACTGATCTTTTTACTGTCTCCACAGTTTTGCCTTTTCTGGAATGTCATATAGTTGTAATGATATAGTATGTGCCCCTTTTCAGTTTGGCTTCTTTCACTTAGTAATATTTAAGATTCCTCCATGTCTTTTCATGGCTTAATAGGTTATTTCTTTTTAGCATTGTATAATATCCCATTGTCTGGATATACCACAGTTTATCCATTCATCTGCTGAAGGACATCTTGGTTGCTTCCAAGTTTTGACAACTATAAATAAAGCTGCTATAAACATCCATGTTCAATTCTCTCTGTGGACATATTTTCAACTCCTCTAGGTAAATACCAAGGAGTGTGATTACAGAATCATATGGTAAAAATATGTGCAGTTTTGTAAAAACAAAAAACAAAATAAAACAAGAAATCCTCCAAACTGTCTTCCAAAATGGCTGAACCATTTTGCATTCCCTCCAGCAATGAGTGAGAGTTCCTGTTGCTCCTCATCCTTGTCAGCATTTGGTGTTGTCAGTGTTCCAGATTTTAGTCATTCTAATAAGTATGTAGTAGTATCTCATTGTCTTAATTTGCATTTCCCTGATGACATATGATATGGAACATCTTTTCATATGCTTACTTGCCATCTATATATTTTCTTTGGTGAGGTACCTGTTAAGGCCCATTTTTTAGTTAGGTTGTTTGTTATCTTATTGTTGAGTTTTAAGAGTTCTTTGTATATTTTGCATAATAGCCCCTTATCAGATAAGTGTTTTGCAAATATCTTCTCCCAGTATGTGGCTTGTCTTCTCATTCTCTTGACGTTGTCTTTCACAGAGCGGTCCAGATTATCATTTCTTGCTCTCAAAAATCATGCCTTTGTTGTATCTAAAAAGTCATTGCCATACTCAAGGTAATCTAGGTTTTCTTTTATGTTATCTTCTAGGAGTTTTATAGTCTTGCACTTTACATTTAGGTCTATGATCCATTTTGAGATAATTCTTGTGAAGGGTGTAAGGTCTGTGCCGAGATTCAATTATTTGCATATGGATGTACGGTTGTTCCAGCACCATTTATTGAAAAGACTGTCTTTGTTTCACTGCATTGCCTTTTGTTATCTGTCAAAGATCAATTGACTACATTTATGTGGGTCTATTTCTGGACTTTCTGTTCTGTTTCATTGATCTATTTGTCTATTCTTTTGCCAATACTACATTGTCTTGATCACTGTACCTTTATGGTAACTCTTGATGTCAGATATTGTTAGTTTTCAAACTTTGTTTTCAATTGTGTTGACTATTCTAAACCTTTTTTACCTCTCCATATAAACTTTGGAATCTGTTTGTCAACATCCACAAAGTAACTTGCTGGGATTTTTATTGGGATTGCTTTGCATCTATTGATGAAGTTGGGAGGAACTAACATCTTTTTTTTTTTTTTTTTAGAGATAGAGTCTCACTCTATAGCCCAGGCTGGAGTGCAGTGGTGTGATGATAGCTCACTGCAGCCTCAAACTCCTGGGCTCAGGTGATCCTTCTGCCTCAGGCTCCCAAGTAGCTGAGACTACAGAGGTGTGCCACTATGTCCAGCTAATAGAACTAACATCTTGCCAATAATAAGTCTTGTTATCCATTAGTATAAAATCTCTCTCCATTTTTTTAGTTCTTCTTTGATTTATTTCATCAGAGATTCATAATTTCCCTCATATAGATCTTGTATATATTATGTTAGATTTATACCTGTTTCATTTTGGGGGGGTGCTGATGTAAACGGTATTATGCTTTTAATTTCAAATTCCACTTATTCATTGCTGATATATAGAAAAGTGATTGACCTTTGTATATTAACCTTGTATCCTGCAACCTAGCTAGAATCACTTATTAGTTCCAGCAGTCTTTTTATCGATTTTTTTAAATTTTCTACATAGACAATCGTGTCATCACTGAAGGAGAACATTATTTCTTCTTTCCCAATCTTTATATATTTATTTCCTTTTTTATCTTGTTGCATTAGCTAGAACTTCCAGTACAATGTTGAAAAAGTGTGGTGAGAGAGAACATTTTTGCCTTGTAACTGACATTAGTTGGAAAAGCTTTGAGTTTCTCACCCTTAAGTATGATGTTAACTATAAGTTTTTTGTAGATATCCTTTATCAGGTTGAGGAATTTTTCCTGTATTCCTAGTTTACTGAGAATTTTTATCATGAATGGGTGTTGTATTTTGTCAAAAGCTTTTGTTTGTGTCTATTTATATGATCATGTGATATTTTTATTTTTAGTCTATTGATGTAATGAATTACATTAATTGATTTTTGAACACTGAACTAGCCTCACTTAGAGGGGATAAATCCCACTTGGTCATGTTGTATAATTCTTTTTATATATTGTTGGATTTTATTTGCAAATATTTTGTTAAAACTTTTTATGTGCATGTTTATGAAAAATACTGGTCTGTAGTTTAATTTTCTTATAACATCTTTGGTTTTGGTTTTTATTTTGGTTTAGGTTGATGGTGGTCTCATAGAATGAGTTAGGAAATATTCCTTCTGCTTCTATCCTCTGAAAGAGATTGTAGGGAATTGTTATAATTTCTTCCTTAAGTGTTTGGTAGAAGCAACAGTGAACCCATCTGGGCCTGGTGCTTTCTGATGTGGAAGGTTATTAATTATTGATTCAATTTATTGAATAAATAGTCTATTCTTGTATGAGTTTTAGCAACTTGTGTCTTTCAAGGAATTGGTGCATTTCATCTAAGTTATCAAATTTGTGGACATAGAGTCCCTCATAGTATTGTTTTATGATCTCGTAAATGTTTCTTACATCTATAGTGATGTCCCCTCTTTCATTTCTGATACTAGCAATTTGTGTTCTCTCTTTTTTTCTTAATTAGCCTGTCTAGTGGCTTAGCAATTTTACTGATCTTTTCAAAGAACCAGCTTTTGGTCTTCTTGATTTTCTGTATTGATTTCCCATTTTTAATTCCATTGATTTCCGCTCTAATTCTTACTTCTTTCCTTCTGCTTACTTTGATTAAATTTGCTTTTTCTTTTTCTAAGGTAGAAACTTAGATTATGGATTTTATATCTTTCTTCCTTTCTAATATATGTATTCACTGCTATAAATTTTTTCCTAAGCATTGCTTTCACTATATCCACAAATTTTGATAAGTTGTGTTTTCATTTCTATTTAGTTCAAAATACGTTAAAATTTATCTTGAGATTTCTTCTTTAACCCATGTGTTATTTAGAAGTGTGTTGTTTAATCTCCATGTGTTTCAGGATTTTCTAGTTATTCTGTTATTGATTTCTAATTTAGTTCCACTGTGGTCTGAGTGCAGACATTGTATGATTTCTGTTTTTAAAAAAAGTCTATGGCTTTTATGGCCCTAAATATGGTCTATCTCGGTGAATATTACATGTGAGCTTGAGAAGATTTGTATTCTGCTGCTGTTGAATGAAGTAGTCTGTAGATGTCAGTTTTATCCTTTTGATCAATGGTATTGTCAAGTTCAACTATGTCCTTACTGATTTTCTATCTGCTGTATCTGTCTATTTCTGAAAGAAGGATTTTGGAAGTCTCCAATGATGATAGTGGATTTATCTATTTTTCCTTTCAGTGCTGTCAGTTTTTGCTTCATGTATTTTGACACTCTGTTGTTAGACACATACACATTAAAGAACATGTGTGTTAAGGATTGTTTTGACTTCTTAGAGAATTGACCCCTTTATTACTATGTAATGCCTTTATTTATCCCTCATAGCTTCCCTTGCTTTGAAATCTGCTCTGTCTGAAATTATTAAGGCTCCCCTTGATTTCTTTTAATGAGTTTTCACATGGTATCTTGTTCTCCAACCAATTGCTTTTAATTGTGTCTTTATATTTAAAGTGAGTTTCTCGTAATTAACATGTAGTTGGATCTTGTTTTTTGTTTTTTGATCCACCCTGACAATTTCTGTCTTTTAATTGGTACATTTAGATCATTGATGTTCAAAGTGATTATTGATGTAGTTGGATTAATATCTACCCTATTTCTTACTGTTTTCTATTTGTTGTCTCTGTTCTTTGTTCCATTTCTATCTTCTAGTCCTTTCTGCCTTTTTTTTAAACAGGGAAAATAAAGATTTTTAAGGCTGATTTGAATAGTCAGTATAGGTTGAGTATCCCTTATCTGAAATGCTTAGGACCAGAAGTTGTTTCAGATTTGGGATTTTTTTTTTTCTGGATTTGGGAATATTTGGTTCAGCATGCCTAATCTGAAAACCTGAAATTTGAAATGCTCCAATGAGTATTTCTTTTGAACTTCATGGTGGTGCTCAGAAAGTGTCAGATTTTTCAGCATTTTAAATTTTGGATTTTTGGATTAGGGATACTCAACGTGTAGTACGTTATCATGCGAATCATGAAGGAAAAGTTAGAAATGAGTGCACATCATATTGTGAGGCTGTAATTTTGTTATGTGTAATTTTTTTGCATTAAACAATTTTTAAGGCCAATTTGGTTCTAAAAACAATAGATTGCCTTTTACATAAAGTTAATATATCTGCCCCATTTCATTTAACTGTTGCAAAATACTTTATATTATGGATACACCATCTATTTTTAACTAGTATGCTATTGATTTCTTTTTATGGTTTTAATTGAGCAGATTCCCTTATCTCTCCTTTCTAACATATCAGTTATACTTTTTTTAGTGGTTGCCCTAGAATTGGCTGTATACATTTACAACTAATCCAAGTTTACTTTCCTTTTTAAATTAAATTTAAATTTTTTTGAGAAAGGGTCTCATCTGTTGCTGAGCTGGAGTGGAGTGGTACAATTTCATTTCACTGCAGCCCTGACCTCCTGGGCTCAAGTGAGCCTCCTAACTCAGCCACCCTGAGTAGCTGGGACCAAAGGTGAGTGCCACCACATCTGGCTAATTTTTGTATTTTTTGTAGAGATAGGGTTTCACCATGATGTCCAACCTGGTCTTGAACTCCTGAGCTCAAGCCATTCACCTGCGTTGGCCTCCCAAATTGCTGGGATTACAGGCATGAGCCACCACACCTGGCCCAAGTCTGCTTTCAAACAACATTATACCACTTCATAGGTAATGTGGGTACCTTATAATAACAAAATAATCCTAATTCTCTCCTCCATCCCTTCTATAATTACCATCACTCCATTTATATATAAACATACATAAGAAAATATATGTACACACACACATGCACACATAAGCATACATCATTGAGTACATTTTTACTATTATTATTAGAACAGGTTGTCTGTTAGATTAAGAAAAATAAAAGTCTGTAAAACCTACCTTCATCGATTCTTTCTTCAGTGATCTTTCTTTATGTAGACCTGAGTTTCTGACCTATGTTATTTTCCTTCATTTAACATTTCTTGCAAGGCAGGTCTCCTAGCAACAAATTCCCTCAATTTTTGTTTGTCTGAGAAAGTCTTTATTTCTCCTTTACTTTTGAAGGATAATTTCTCAAGGAACAAAATTCTAGGTTGGTGGGATTTTCTTTTATAACTGTATGTATTTCACACGACTTTCATTTTACTTGCATGATTTATTTTATTTTATTTTATTATTATTATACTTTTAAGTTTTAGGGTACATGTGCACAACGTGCAGGTTAGTTACATATGTGTACATGTGCCATGCTGGTGTGCTGCACCCATTAACTCGTCATTTAGCATTAGGTATAGCTCCTAATGCTATCCCTCCCCACTCCCCCCACCCCACAACAGTCCCCAGAGTGTGATGTTCCACTTCCTGTGTCCATGGGTTCTCATTGTTCAATTCCCACCTATGAGTGAGAATATGCCGTGTTTGGTTTTTTGTTCTTGCGATAGTTTACTGAGAATGATGATTTCCAGTTTCATCCATGTCCCTACAAAGGAAATGAACTCATCATTTTTTATGGCTGCATAGTATTCCATGGTGTATATGTGCCACATTTTCTTAATCCAGTCTATCATTGTTGGACATTTGGGTTGTTTCCAAGTCTTTGCTATTGTGAATAGTGCCACAATAAACATACGTATACATGTGTCTTTATAGCAGCATGATTTATAGTCCTTTGGGTATATACCCAGTAATGGGATGGCTGGGTCAAATGGTATTTCTAGTTCTAGATCCCTGAGGAATCGCCACACTGACTTCCACAATGGTTGAACTAGTTTACAGTCCCACCAACAGTGTAAAAGTGTTCCTATTTCTCCAAATCCTCTCCAGCATCTGTTGTTTCCTGACTTTTTAATGATTGCCATTCTAACTGGTGTGAGATGGTATCTCATTGTGGTTTTGATTTGCATTTCTCTGATGGCCAGTGATGATGAGCATTTTTTCATGTGTTTTTTGGCTGCATAAATGTCTTCTTTTGAGAAGTGTCTGTTCATGTCCTTCACCCACTTTTTGATGGGGTTGTTTGATTTTTTTCTTGTAAATTTGTTTGAGTTCATTGTAGATTCTGGATATTAGCCCTTTGTCAGATGAGTAGGTTGCGAAAATTTTCTCCTATTTTGTAGGTTTCCTGTTCACTCTGATGGTAGTTTCTTTTGCTGTGCAGAAGCTCTTTAGTTTAATGAGATCCCATTTGTCAATTTTGGCTTTTGTTGCCATTGCTTTTGGTGTTTTAGACATGAAGTCCTTGCCCATGCCTATGTCCTGAATGGTAATGCCTAGGTTTTCTTCTAAGGTTTTTATGGTTTCAGGTCTAATGTTTAAGTCTTTAATCCATCTTGAATTAATTTTTGTGTAAGGTGTAAGGAAGGGATCCAGTTTCGGCTTTCTACATATGGCTAGCCAGTTTTCCCAGCACCATTTATTAAATAGGGAATCCTTTCCCCATTGCTTGTTTTTCTCGGGTTTGTCAAAGATCAGATAGTTGTAGATATGCGGCGTTATTTCTGAGGGCTCTGTTCTGTTCCATTGATCTATATCTCTGTTTTGGTACCAGTACCATGCTGTCTTGGTTACTGTAGCCTTGTAGTATAGTTTGAAGTCAGGTAGCCTGATGCCTCCAGCTTTGTTCTTTTGGCTTAGGATTGACTTGGTGATGCGGGCTCTTTTTTGGTTCCATATGAACTTTAAAGTAGTTTTTTTCCAATTCTGTGAAGAAAGTCATTGGTAGCTTGATGGGGATGGCATTGAATCTATAAATTACCTTGGGCAGTATGGCCATTTTCACGATATTGATTCTTCCTACCCATGAGCATGGAATGTTCTTCCATTTCTTTGTATTCTCTTTTATTTCATTGAGCAGTGGTTTGTAGTTCTCCTTGAAGAGGTCCTTCACGTCCCTTGTAAGTTGGATTCCTAGGTATTTTATTCTCTTTGAAGCAATTGTGAATGGGAATTCACTCATGATTTGGCTCTCTGTCAGCCCAAAATCTCCTTAAGCTGATAAGCAACTTCAGCAAAGTCTCAGGATACAAAATCAATGTACAAAAATCACAAGCATTCTTATACTTGCATGATTTCTGAGAAGTCTAATGTAATTCTTATCTTTGTTCCTATATAGGCAAAATGGTTTTCCCCACTCTGGCTTCTTTCAGGATTTTTTCTTTACCTTTGATTTTCTGTAGTTTGAAAATAATATGCCTAGGTGGTGGTGGTGGTGGTGGTGGTGGTAATGGTGGTGGTGTTTCTTTTTGGTGTTTATCCTACTTAGTGATCTCTAAGCTTCCTGGATCTATGGGTTGTCGTCTGACATCAATTTGAGGAAATTCTCAGGCATTATTGTTTTAAATATTTCTTCTTTTCTCTCTGTTCTCCTTCTAGTATTTTTCATGCATCTATGTATGTATGTAGTAGTGTCATAATCCTTAGATATTCTCTTCTGTTTTTTTTTTTTTTTCAGTCTGTGTTCTCTTTGTTTTTCAGGTTTTGGAGGTTTCTATTAAGACATCCTCAAGCTCAGAGATTTTTTCCTCAGCCATTTTGCATCTACTAATAAGCCCATCAAAGGCATTCTTTGTTTCTGTTACAGTATTTTTTTACACTTTTATTTTAGGCTTAGGACTACATGTGCAGGTTTGTTATACAGATAAATTGTGTGTAGCAAGGGTGTGATGTAAGATTATTTCATCACCCAGGTGATAAGCATTTAATTTATAGGTGGCTTTTGTTTTTCTTTTTGTTTGAAACAGAGCCTCACTCTATCACCCAGGCTGAAGTACAGTGGTGCCATCTCAGCTCACTGCAACCTCCTGGTTTCAAGTGATTCTCATGCCTTAGCCTCCTGAGTAGCTGGGATTACAGGTGTGTGCCATCACAGTAACATTTTTAGTAAAGACAGGGTTTTACCATGATGTCCAGGCTAGTCTCGAACTCCTGGCCTCAAGTGATCCACCTGCCTCAGCCTCCCAAAAGTGCTGCAATTACAGGCATCAGCCACCATGCCTGGCCCTTGATAGGTAGTTTTTGATCCTTACCCTCCTCCCACCATCTACCTCTCAGCAGGCCTCAGTGTCTGTTGTTCCCTTCTTTGTGTTCATGTATACTCAATGTTTAGCTTCCACTTATAAGTGAGAACATACAGCATTTGGTTTTCTATTCCTGTGTTAGCTTGCTTAGGATAATGGCCTCCAGCTCCATCCATGTTACTGCAAAGGATATGATCTCATTCTTTTTATGACTGTGTAGTATTCCATGGTGTATATGTACTACATTTTCTTTATCTAGTCTACCACTGATGAACATTTAGGTTGATTCTATGTCTTTGCTTTTGTGAATAGTGCTGCAATGAACACATGTGTTGCACTTGTCTTTATCGTAGAATGATTTCTATTCTTTTGGATACATACCCAATAATGGAATTGCTAGGATGATTGGTAGTTCTATTTTTAAGTTATTTGAGAAATTATCAAGTTGGTTTCCAAAATAGCTGAACTAATTTACATTCCCACTGGCAGTGTATAAGCATTCCCTTTTCTCTGCATCATCTTCAGCATCTGTTATTTTCTGACTTTTTAATAATAGCCATTGTGACTGGTGGGAAATGGTATCTCATTGTGGTTTTGATATGCATTTCTCTGAAGATTAGTGATATTGAGCATATTTCATATGTTTGTTGGCCACATGTGTATGTCTTCTTTTAAGAAGTGTCTGTTCATATCCTTTGTACACTTTTTAATGGGGTTGTTGGTTTTTTGCTTGCTGATTTGTTTAAGTTCCTTATAGATTGTGAATATTAGACCTTGTCAGATGTATAGTTTGTAAATATTTTCTCCCATTCTGTAGGCTGTTTGTTTACTCTGTTGACATTTTCTTTTGATGTGCAGAAGCTCTTTAATTTAATTAAGTTTCATTTGTCAATTTTTGTTTTTATTGCAATTACTTTTGTCATCTTCATCATTAAATCTTTGCCAAGGCCTATGTGTAGAATGATATTTCCTAGATTACCTTCCAGGATTTTTATTGTTTTAGGTTTTACATTTAAGTCTTTAATCCATCTTGAGTTGATTTTTGTATATGGTATAAGGAAGGGGTCCAGTTTCAATCTTCTGCATATGGCTAGCCAGTTATCCCAACACCATTTATTGAATAGGAAGTCTTTCCCCACTGCTTGTTTTTGTCAACTTTGTCCAAGATCGGATGGTTGTAGGTGTGTGACTTCATTCCTGGGCTCTCTGTTCTGTTCCATTGTTCTGTGTGTCTGTTTTTTGTACCAGTACATACTGTTTTAGTTATGGTATCCTTTTGATATAGTTTGAAGTCAGGTGATGTGATGCCTCTAACTTTGTTCTTTTGCTTAAGATTGCCTTGGCTATTAGGGCTCTATTTAAGGTTCATATGAATTTTAAAATAGTTTTTTGTAATACTGTGAAGAATGTCATTATTAGTTTGATAGGAATAGCATTGAATATGTAAATTGCTTTGGGCAGTATGACTGTTTTAACAATATTGGTTCTTCCTAATCATGAGTATGAAATATTTTTTCTATTTGCTTGTGTAATCTCTGATTTCTTTGAGCAATGTTTTGTAATTCTCACTGTACAGAATTTTCACTCCCTGGTTAACTATATTCCCAGGTGTTTTGTTCTTTCCGTGGCTATTGTGAAAGAGATTGCATTCTTGATTTGGCCCTCAGCTTGGACATTGATGGTTTATAGAAATGCTACTGATTTTTGTACATTAATTTTGTAGGCTGAAGCTTTGCTGATGTCATTTATCAGATTTAGGAGCTTTTGAATAGAGATTGTGGGGTTTTCTAGATATAGACTCATATTATCTACAAACAGATAGTTTGATTTCTTCTCCTATTTGGATGCCTTTTATTTCTTTGTCTTTCTTGATTGCCCTGCCTAGGACTTACAGTACTTTGTTGAATAGAAATGGTGAGAATGGGCATCCTTGTCTTGTTCTGTTTCTCAAGGGGAATGCTACAGCTTTTTTTTTTTGTTCAGTATGATGTTGGCTGTGGGTTTGTCAGAGATGCCTCATTATTTTGAGATATGTTCCTTCAATGCCTAGTTTGTTGTGGAGGATTTTTAACATGAACATATGTTGAATTTTCTCAAAAATCTTTTCTTCGTCTATTGAGATGATCATGTGGTTTTTGTTTTCAGTTCTGTTTCTGTGGTGAATCACATTTATTGATTTGTGTATGTTGAACCAACCTTACATCCCAGTAATAAAGCCTACTTGATCATGGTGGTTTAGCTTTTTGTTGTGCTGCTGGATTTGGTTTGCTAGCATTTTATCCTGGATTTTTGCATCTATGTTCATCAGGGTATTGTTGTGTCTCTGCCATATTTTGGTATCAGGATGATGCTGGCCTCATAGAGTGAGTTAGGGAGGAGTCCCTCCTCCTTAATTTTTTGGAATAGTTTCCATAGGAATGGTACCAGGTCTTCTTTATACATCTGGAAGAATTCAGCTGTGAATCTCTCTGGTATGGGACTTTTTCTTGTTGGTAGGCTTTTTATCACTGATTCAGTTTTGGACCTCATTACTGGTCTGTTTTCAAGAGTTCATTTTCTTCCTGGTTCAATGTTGGGAGGTTGTAGATTTCTAGGAATGTATCAGTTTCTTCCAGGTTTTTCAGTTTGTGTGCATAGATATGTTTGTAGTAGTCTCTGAGGATTTTTTTTTATTTCTATAGGGTTGGTGGTAATGTCCGATTTGTTATTTCTAATTGTGTTTATTTGGGTCTTCTCATTTTTTTCTTTATTATTCTAGCTAGTGGTGTATCAGTCTTATTTACTCTTTTAAAAAACCAACTCCTGAATTCATTAATCTTTTGGAGGTTTTTCACATCTCAGTTTCATTCAGTTCAGCTCTGATTTTGGTTAGTTCTTGTCTTCAGCTTTGGGGTTGGTTTGCCTCTTGTTTTTCTAATTCTTGTAGTTGTGATGTTAGGTTGTTAATTTGAGATCTAACTTTTTGATGTGAACATCTAGCACTATAAACTTTCCTCTTAACACTACTTTAGCTGTGTCCCAGAGATTCTGGTATGTTTTATCTTTGTTCTCATTAGTTTCAAAGAATTTCTTGATGTCTAACTTAATTGCATTGCTTACCCAAAAGTCATTCAGGAGAAGATTGTTTAATTTTCATGCACTTATATGGTTTTTAGAGATCTCCTTAGAGATTTCTGTTTTTATTGTGCTGTGGACTGAGAGCTTGGTTCGTATGATTTCGATTTTTTTTCAGTTTGCTGAGAATTTGTGTTGTGGCTGATTGTATGTTTGATTTTAGAGTATGTGCCATGTGGCAATGAGAAGAATGTATATTCTGTTGTTTGGGGTGGAGAGTTCTGTAGATGTCTGTCGGGTCCTTTTGGTCAAATGTCAAGTTCAAGTCCTGAATATCTGTTTTCTGCCTCGGTGCTCTGTCTGATACTGTCAGTGGGGTGTTGAAGTCTCTCATTATTATTGTGTGGTTATCTAAGTCTCTTTGTAGGTCTCTCAGAACATGGTGCTTCTGTGTTGGGTGCATATATATTTAGGATAGTTAGGTCTTCTTGTTGAATTGAACCCTTTACCATTATGTAGTGCCCTTCTTTGTCTTTTTTGATTATTGTTGGTAAAAAGTCTGTTTGGTCTGAAATTAGAATAGTGCCCCTGCTTTTTCCTGTTTTCCATTTTTGTGGCAGATTTTTCTCATTCCCTTTACTTTGAGCCTATGTGTGCCATTGCATGTGAGATGGGTCTTTTGAAGACAGCATATAGTTGGGCCTTGCTTCTTTATCCAACTCGACACAGTGCCTTTTAATTGTGGCATTTGGTCTGTTTACATTCAAGGTTAATATTGGTATGTGTGGACTTGATCCTGTCGTCATGTTATTAGCTGGGGTTATTATATAGACTTGATTGTGTAGTTGTTTTATAGTGTCAACGGTCTATGTATTTAAGTGTGCTTTTGTGGTAGTTGGTAACTGTCTTTCCTTTTCATATTTAGCACTCCCTAAAGGACCTTTTGTAAGGTGGGTCTGATGGTAATGAATTTCCTTAGAATTTGCTTGTCTTAAAAGGATCTCAGGGTTTTTTGTTGTTGTTGTGTTTTTGTTTTTTGTTTATGAAGCTTAGTTGGCTGGGTATGAAATTCTTGATTGGAATTTTGTTTCTTTAAAAATGCTGGATATAGGCCCCCTATGTCTTCTGGCTTGTAGAATTTCTGTTGAGAGGTCTGCCATTAGCCTGATGGGGTTCCCTTCGTAGGTGACCTGTCCCTTCTCTCTAGCTGCCTTTAGCATTTTTTCTTTCATTTTGACCTTGGAGAATCTGAGGACTGTGTCTTGGGGATGCTCATCTTTGTATAGTATCTCACAAGGGTTCTCTGCACTTCCTGATTTTGAATATTGGCCTCTCTAGCAAGGTGGGGAAAATTTTTATAGACAATATCCTTAAATATATGTTCCAAATTGCTTGCTTTCTCTCCCTCTCTTTAAGAGATGCCAGTGAGTCATAGATTTGGTCTCTTTACATAATTCTTGCTTTCTGTCCCTCTCTTTCACATATACCAGTGAGTCATAGATTTGGTCTCTTTACATAATTCCATATTTTTGGAGGTTCATTCTTTTTTATCCTTTTTTCTTTATTTTTGTCTGAGTTAATTTGGAGAACCAGCATTTGAGCTTTGAAATTTTTTCCACAGCTTGGTCTATTCTGGTATTACTATTTGCAATTGTATTATGAAATTCTGGAAGTGAGTTTTTCAGCTCTATCAGATCAGTTTGGTCCTTTCTTAAAATGGCCATTTCATATTTCAGTTCCTGTATTGTTTTATTGTATTCCTTAGATTTCTTGGATTGGGTTTTGACTTTCTCCTGAATCTCAATGATCTTTTCTATCCATATTCTGAATTCTACGTCTGTCATTTCAGCCAAGTTAAGAATCATTGCTGGGGAACTTGTGCAGTTATTTGGAGGTAAGAAGACACTCTGACTTTTTGAGTTGCCAGAGTTCTTGTGCTGGTTCTTTCTCATATTTGTGGGCTGATGTTCCTTCAATCTTTGAAGTTGCTTTCTTGTGGATGGGTTTTTTGCTTTTATCGTCTTTGATGCCCTTGGGAGTTTGATTGTGGTACAGGGTGGTTTCAGGCATCTGGCTTTGTTTATGGAATAAGCTGAGCTGTGTGCTCTAACTCTAGAGGCTGGTACCAGTGCCTGAGCTTTGTTCTCTGGACCCTTGAGGTTAGGAACCTGCTGCACTAGGGGGGTGTTGAGGTGTTCCCGGTCTGCTAGCCACAACATGCCAATAGTTGGTGCTGGCCAAAGAGTTCTGTTGGGGCAATGGCAGTGGGATCTGTGTTCACGCGCACATGCCATCAGCTGAGACATAGTCATGGGGTATACATGTGTCAGCTGGGGTGGAGCACCATTGGGAATGGAGTGATGGCATTCCTGCACCCACTCGTGCTGGTGGCAGTGATGGCATGGCTGGGTGGGGTGCAAGCAGGGGTGGGGTTGCCAGCATTTGTGTGTGTGCTTGTGCTGGTGGCAGCAGGGGAGGGATTTCCAACATCTGTGCATGCATTTGTGGTGGCAGCATGGTGGGGTGCCCACACATTGGTGGAGGGGGCAGTGGGGTACGCTCACACCAGCAGAAGCAGTGCTATGGTGTGTGCACTGGCGGGGGAGGGAGGGAAGGTCTGTCTACACATGCATGGCAGCCAAACAATTGTAAGAAGGTCATTGGTGAGTGCGTGCTAACAAAACGGCAAAGGGAAGCTTCAGGTGAGCTGGTGTGTTTTGGCAGGGGCAGGTCTGCTGGAGTTCTCCAACAGTCAACTGTGGCCTGCTGGTGAAAGAGCTATGATGAGGGCCTCTGGGAAATATCCTGGTTGGGCATCCAAGGCTGCACTGCTAGCAGGCATGGTGAGGGTGGGGCCCCAGGAGAAGCCAGCAGACACAGGAGTGCTCAGATTGGACTGGCCCCATTCCACAGGCAAGATTGCCCTGCTCTGCCTAGGTCCAACAGTCTCCCTAAGGTTAAAGTCTCCTAAAGGAGCATGGTGAGCCTTGGGGAATTGGCATGTCTTGTCCCTGGCTCCACTGCAGATGTTTCTACACCAAACCCTCTTGGCTCTGCACAGGCTGGAATCTCACCCCGTCCACCTCTCTGAACAGTTCTCCCTGCCAGCTCAAGTGTCCTTTGAGATCTTGGGGTCTCCTGCTGCTAGAATTCCAGAGGTTGATGGCAAGAGTGGGCCATTCCTCACCTATTCAACTCACCCTTTCTCAGAGTCACTGGGGCTAGGAATGAGTCTTGGTTCTTGACAGCCCCACGCAGGGCTCCCAGCTTCTTCCCCTTACAGCTAAGCATCTGGGTCCTCCCTCTATCCACTCTCAATGCCTTCTCTCCAAAGATCTGCTTGGAGTGTCCCAGTCTTCCCAGTGTCCCCGTCTCTTGATGGGATATGTTCCTCTTGGCTGTGTCTAGGCAGCCATTTTGGCTTGGGCCCTTGTTTTTTATCTCTAGCATTTCTTTTTGGTTCTGTCTTAGGATTTAAGAAATCCTAAGATTTCTTATGAAATGTGGTTCTTTCTTAGGATTTAAGAAATCCTAAGATTTCTGCTTATGTTGCCCATCTTTTTGTACATGCTATCTACTTTATCCATTAGAGTTAGCATAATCATAGTTGTTTTAAATTCCCAGTCTGATAATTTCAACATCCCTGCCTTGTCTTGTTCTGGTACTTTGTCTCTTCAAAGTGTGTTTTTTACCTTTTAATATGTCTTATAATTTTTGTTTTGATAACCAAACATGTTACACTGAGTAAAAACTCTGCTGTAAATGGGCCTTTAGTAATGTTGCAGTAAGTGTAGGGGGAGGAGAAGCATTCTACACTCCTAGGAATAAGTTCTCTGCTTTTAAATGTGTCTGTGCCTCTGGCTGTGAACTTTGTAAGCCTTTCTCAGTTCTCAGTTTCTCAGGGGCAAGATGGCTAAAGTGGGCTATAGTTGGGTATTTCCCTTCTCTCATGTTGAGTGGGCTAGAGCTGGTTATTTTTCTTCTTCCACATGGAAGGCTAGAACTAACTGGAGTTGGACATTTTCTTTCACCTGGGCCAGTTAGGCTCTGATTAGTAGATTAGGCTCTGGTTAACTAACTTCTCCTAAGAGCAAGGCTTGCTAAGAAGAACAGAGCGCACTGACATAGTTCAAAATGGTTCCTTCTCTTTTCCCCCTACTGGAAGCATGGAGAGCTGTTTCTCCCATATTTACTGGGATAACATAGTCAAGCTCCTGGAGGTATATCTCACTCAATTATGGGGACCCTGTATAACTGGGTTTACCTGGAGCTTTTAACTTTCTGATTTGTCCACACTGAGCCTCCAGGAATTCATCAGTTACAGTTCATGTTTTCCTACCCCAGCACTGGTCCCCGCAATGGTTTCTACTTGTGAGTTTCCTCTGGTAAGCCATGACTCCATGGATTTGCCTGCCTGTGTCTCCAATCTTGGGGGCAGAGGTTTGCCCTGTGTCCTCACCTCTCTAATGGATCCTAAAAGAGTTGTTGATTTTTTTAAAACTCTGTTCAGCCTTTTACTTATTAGGAGGGAGTGATGCCTTCTAAGTGACTTTCATGGAAAATGAGAAACTAGAAGTCCTCCACCTTTCTTCGTATCCTGTACCTCCTATTTTGGGATTAAAAATAGCCTCCCAAGTTATATCAACTTTCAAGAAATATAAACCAAACCCTCAATAAACAAGTGTTAACTCTTGTTGCCTTCAGTATCCTTTACTGAGCCACTGCGTTTGCAGAGAATAGTGCTTACTGCTATAAAGTGGAGAGAGAAATAGAATAGTCTTTGCCTTTGAGAGACTGAAAGTCTATTTCATTTGAAAATATATTTGTTCCCGAACTCTTTGTCAAAAGGATTTGAAAATCAAGTTGCCAGTTGATGCATATGTGTAGCACATTTTGCTGAGCAGGGCTTAACTCATTAGAGTTATCTGAGAGACATTTATTTAATCCCCTTTTACATAAAATGCAATATATAGTAAGGCTAATAACAAAGTAATATCTATAGAAAGTGAAGATCAAAGGGAAGGTGAGGAAGTCAGTGTGCTGACCATAGTTGTTGTGTGAATATATAGTTTGAGCTTCCAGGAAGCCAGGTCAAAAAGGGAAAACATGATACAATTCCTAGTTCTCATTATCAAGAATGCAAATGTGCTGCCAGTTCTTCAGGGAAGACAGAGCTTATCATGTGATGTTTTATATAGAGCATATTGAGCACAGCAATATCTTCAATAGTTCTGCATGAACTGCAGTGTGAATTTTGTAAAGGCGGTTTCTTTGGTGACAAAAAGCTGTTCTATAATGAACTAAACTATGTAGCCTTCCAAGGGTCTAACGTTATTCAGTGGTAAAATTTCAAGTACCTAGAGAATTTATAATCTGTTGGTTTTAATTAAAATTAAATGTTTGCTTCTCACTTTTTAAAATTAAAAATATGTGACACTTGAAGAAGGAAAAATAACTGAAGGCAGATTTTGATTTAAATTCTCAGAGGAATAAATGACAGGAATGCCCTTGGCTGATTTGATGAGTATGCTTCTCTACTGTCATGCATTAATTAACTGTGTTTTGACTTTCTATTTTTATGGTCACCTCTTAATCAAGGAGTGTTAAAGCACAATTACTATTATTGATATTCTAAGAAAGGCAAGATGCAGAATAGCATCCATTAGTAACTCAACATGGAGCCTCATCAGTCTTTAGTAAGGGGTTCTGCTGGGTTGGTTTGCCTATTCTTTAGGCAGTAGAATCTTACCCATAATAGTCAAGAAAGTCTTAATACAATAAAACAGTTCTTAACTCAGAATTGTCTAAAGCAGCTCAAGGATTTGTTGTGTGTAATCAACTTTACACTCTGGCATGAGAATAATTTATGAATGCAAAAATAGATAAAAACAAATTCTGATGGCTAAGTGAATGGGGGCAGAGGACAAGAGTAAGTGAACACAATAAATTTACACCCCTGTCTTTAAGAATTAGGAATTACCCTCTCACTGTATGACTTCTCCCATCTGGTCTACATTTTTCTCTTCCTTATATGGTACACATTTTGTTGATGGTCTTCTGCATGTCCCATTCTACTCTGAACTAGGATAATCTATTCTTTGTAACAGAGTCCTTTTATAATTTGCAAAAGTTTATACACGCACCTGAGGATTCTCAAGACTCAATTTAAGTGTAATTGCCATTGGATGATTTCTATAACCTGTGCATCATCTAACGCAGCTGTCCCTGACTTTTTTGACACCAGGAACTGGTTTTGTGGAAGACAATTTTTCCAAGGATTGGGTGGGGGTAGGGTGGGGGATGGTTTCAGGATGAAATTGTTCTATCTCAGACCACCAGGTATTAGTTAGAATCTCATAAGGAGCACGCAACCTAGATCCCTTGCATATGCAGTTCACCACAGAGTTTGTGTTCCTATGAGAATCTAATGCTGCCACTGGTTTGACAGGAGGCAGAGCTCAGGTGGTAATGCTCTCTCACCTGCTGCTCACCTCCTGCTGTGTGGCCCGGTTCCTAACAGGCCATGGACTGGTACTGGCCCGCGGCCTAAGGGTTGGGGACCCCTGCTCGAACGCACTAGGTGAAATGCTTGGTGTTACTTAATCCCCCCAGAATGCTTTCTGCTGTTTGTTTGGCCTGTATCACTCTCTAACTTTGGGATTCTTGTTGTCTGTGTAAGTGTTCTAACTGCTGTGGTCCTGGGAAAGGCATTTTAAAATTCATTTTTCACATACTCTTTCCTAATTGAATCTTTGGGGGAAGAAACAAAGCAACATAAGCTGGGCTCTGGCATTATTATTTGGATTGTTAAAAAAAGTAATCATTGGCATAGAGTCATTTCCTAGTTGAAATCCAGGGTAAAATGGATCTTCTACTGTCAGAAGCATATATGTCTTAAAACAACCTCCTCTCCTCCTACTTGCAGTAGCTCAGGAAGATGTTCTCATTAAACACAAGTCCCAAACAGTGATGTTTCATTACGTCTCAAAATTACACCAAGATTCTTTATGAACTGGAACATCTGGGTACAAGAAAAATGCTTTCTATTTTTTTTTTTGACAATATTATCTGCCGAAGTGGAAGAATGGATGTTGAGTAAATTAAGGAAGTGGGTCTTTTGCCAGACAGCCTGAAGAATTCTATAAATAAAACTACCCTTTTGTTCAGAAATAAGAGGGTAAAACATTTTATTTTAAAAGGCACTTGAGCTCAGGAGCTTGAGATCAACCTAGACAGCATAGCAAGAGTCATTCTTACTAAAAATTAAAAAGACAAATTAATCAAGCTTGGTGGCACATGCCTGTAGTCCCAGCTACTCAGGAGGCTGAGGCAGGAGGATCGGTTGAGCTTGAGAGAGTGAAGCTGCAGTAAGCTATGATCATGCCACTGCACTCCAGCCTGGGTGAGAGAATGAGACCATGTTTAAAAAAAAAAAAAAAAAAAAAAAAAAAAAAAAAAAACAACCTGTAGATATGATTACATGATTTCCTTATTGCATTTTTCTATCGAAAAAAAAGACACATGATTTAGACAGGATTCATTGGTTCACTGCCGATTCCCCAGCACAAAGTTCAGTGCTCAATAAATAGCTGTTGGGTGAGTGAATAGATGAATGAATGAAATATGAGGTCATAAAAAGTATTTATTCTCTATTGTACCCTTGAGTCTCCAAAAGTTTGCTCACTAATTTATGATAATTCAGATATTTGATTATCCTAAATGGATTGTGATTAGGCTTAAGAAAAATGGGTTCTAGGGACAGTTTTCAGGTGCCCATAGGTTTGTTTTCTCTGGACAAGATGCAAGGCTCCAGTGAGGAACTGGGTTTTAATGTGATGATTAATACGAGGTGATTACAGGAGATACCTCATAGACCTCAAAGACTAATTTTCAGGATTAGATGCGAGATATTTTGTAGACAACTTCACTGATGAACGACTTAGCTATTATCTTCTAAAGATTTTTATTTTAAAAATCCCTTGCATCTCAATTTTTCTTCTTTGTTTCTTACTTTTACTTTATACATGACAGATATACTTTCAAACTTTAAAGTGAAAAGCGATGTCAGAGGTGCTGATATTCACACCTTTTGAGTGTCAGCTGCAGGGAGATGTGTTTCTTGGCTGCTTCTAAAACATCTGCAGAAAAAAAATACAGTGTGTATCTGCACAGAAGAATGACAAATGCAGGAAAAGACAGGAGTCACACAGCAACATTAATGCAGCACCTTAGGCAGTTTGCATCACCCAGACTGTGCCCTAAAATGAAGGTGTTTCATTTTTTAAGCTGTTGTTGTCAATACCCTTGACGGGATGTCTGAAAATATGCAGCCTAGTAATTGCTTCTAGCTCCACAGCATGAGCATCATAGACCTCCTTCCTAAGCCATGGTTAGGAGAGAAGGAAATATCTATTGACCCTGATAGCTATTTTCCCCTCTCATAACTCCCCTGTGGATTAGTGGGGTTCCTGGGATCCCTCATCCTTTGCTTAAGTAAATATGTACAGAATTATATCAGCTTTAGGAGATTTAGAAGCCCTGCACTTTTTTTCAAAAAGTTTTTAAACCGATGCATAATATTTATACATATTTATGGGATACATGTGATATTTTGTTACCTGCATTGAGTGTGTAATAAGTCAGGGTATTTAGGATATCCATGACCTAGAGCATTTATCATTTCTATGTGTTGGGAACATTTCAAGTCCTCTCTTGTAGCTATTTTGAAATATACAATACATTGTGGTTAACTATAGTCACCCTACTCTGCTGTCAAACATCAGAACTTACTCCTTCTATCTACCTGTATATTTGTATCCATTAACCAACCTTTGTTCACCCCCCTCAACCCCACACAAGAAAGCCCAAGACTTTTAAATCACTTCTGTGACTTACTAGTCCTGTAGCTTTGGGCAAATTGCCTAAGTTTTCTGGGCTTCCTCTTCCTGCTCCATTAAATGTAAAAGATCATTAATGCTGCCTACTCTCATTGGTTTATTATGAACCTTGAATTAAATGCAACAAAGCAAATAGAAGCACCTTGTTGTATTCTGTGGTGTTGGCTTAATATTGCTGAGTGAATAATGTTAGAAACATGGATGATTGTGGAAGAGCAGAAGTGTTACAGAGTGTGCTAAGGCAGCTGACGTTTGCCGCTTGGAAGTGAGACTTGAGAGCAGCACTGAAAGGAATATGTTTGAAGAGTATAGTTCTTGCAAATATTTGTTGTATGCAAATCAGTAAAATCTAGTGATAAACATCCCAGAGAAGATAAAGATTTAGCAAAAATTGTAAACCACTGTCTGTTGTTTTAGAGAGCTGCTGAAAAATTCAATGGAAGCCCACAAAGTCTAGAGATATTTGAATTTATTTTTGATTTGAAATAACTGGTTGGGTAACGTATCTTAGGAAAATGTTAGAACCTGCCATAGTTACCAGGTATATATAGAAAAGCTCGGAAGGCAACCAGGCCACAGTCACCCAAGAAGACATGGGTTTTGTCCATAAAATTTGAATTGTCCAAGAGAGGGCATGTAAAGCCAAAATGGGGAAGGGTGGAGTTGGATGAGGATGTGTCATTGCCCTGAGATGTTAGGAGCACGGTTCTTTAAGTCAGGGAGACTTGGACTCCGATTTTTCTTGCCACTAAACAATTTTATGATCTTGGGCAGGTTGCTTTACCTCTTCAAGGTTTAATTTAGTCATCTATAAAATGTGGATAACAATGCCTGCTTTCCAGGGTTGAAATAATTAGATAACACGTTAAGTGATTAGCATAATGGACTCATGGAAAGCCATGACCTTGGGGCAATGGGGGAGTGAGGGTGGGATAATCATTGTAGACATGAGCCCATTTTACAGATGAAACAAGTATCTTCTAAGCTTCAACATATGTACAGAGAAGACCTAGAATCCAAATTTCCTGAGAACTAGTCCAGGCAATTTATGTATAGTGTGGGTACCAGGGTGAGTGTGGGCTCCAGGGCTCCTTCCTCTGAGGAATCTATTCATAGCCTGAATCTGTTTCTTTAGAAGACACTTAATATTTATTGAATGGTCAGTCAACTCAGCCTCATAATTGTACCTTCTACATCTGTAACAAACAGCACAAACTCAAGTTGATCCCTACTAATCTAGAATAGGGCCAAGGGTGATTCAGCCAAGTTTCAGAACCCCTAAGATGCTCATGAGCACCTGTTTCAGAATAGTTCAAATAGGAAGGCTAAAAATTAGAGGTAAGGGAAGTAGACAAAAGTTTTTTTAAAAACTTTTTTTTAGTTCAGGGGTACATGTGCAGCTTTGTTATACAGGTAAACTCGTGTCGGGGGGTTTGTTGTGTAGATTATTTCATCACCCAGGTACTAAGCCTACTACCCAATAATAGTTATTTTTTCCACTCCTCTTCCTCCTCCCACCCTCCACCTTCTAGTAGGCCCCAGCGTCTGTTGTTCCCCTCTTTGGGTCCATGTGTTCTCATCATTTAGCTTCCACTTACAAGTGAGAACATGTGACATTTGGTTTTCTATTACTGTGTTAGTTCACTAAGGATTATGGCCTCCAGCTCCATCTATATTGCTGCAAAGGACATGATCTCACTTTTTACAGCTGCATAGTATTCCATGGTGTATATGTACCACATTTTCTTTATCCATTCTACCATTGATCAGCATTGAGGTTGATTCCATGTCTGCTATTGTAAATGGTGCTGCAGTGAATATACACATGCATGTATCTTTATGATAGAATGATTTATATTCCTTTGGTTACATACCCAGTAATGGTATCACTGGGTCGAATGGTAGTTCTATTTTAGCTTTTTGAGGAATCTCCACACTGCTTTCCACAATGGTTAAACTAATTTACCTCCCACCAGCAGTGTGTAAGTGTTCTCTTTTCTCTGCAACCTCACCAGGATCTGTTATTTTTTGACTTTATAATCACAGCCATTCTGACTGGTGTGAGATGCTATCTCATGATGGTTTTGATTTGCATTTCTCTAATGATCCATGATCTTGAGTTTTTTTTCATATGTTTGTTGGCCACACGTATATCTTCTTCTGAAAAGTAAGACATAGGAAGTTTTCACTATGTTATAGACAGAGCAACACATCTGAAAATGTTCATATTACCATGTCTCCATGCAAAATTTTGCTGTTTTAAACCAACACAAACAAAACAATCTTAGGAATTTTCAAGAAGGGGACTTTACAACAAACACTGCTTTTACAACAGTAGCATTTTAGCGCAAAGTTGGAATAACAGTTTTGCCCCACAGGTTTACATATGAACCAAGTAGCATTTCAACATTGTGCGTTTTCCTAACAATAAATGAATTGGCAATTTTTAAAACTCATTTAAAAGGTTTTCAAGTTAAGGTATATTTACTTTTCAGTACAATATATTGGGAAATAGATGTCAGCTGCCAACTCAATAATGCTGGCATTTATTCTTGTAATGACATCTAATTCTCTTTGTTTAACTATACCCAGTATTCTGATTGGTAATCTCCAGATTCTTCTCCAGAAATATCTCATTGCTTTCTTCCAATTTATCCATGGAGAAAAAGAGTGTGTGTGTGTGTGTGTGTGTGTCTTGCATTAAGGAAGTTGTAGAATACTGTAACCACAATTTTGCACCACGTTACTGTTTATCTTCTGTGCTGTTACAGCATCGACAGCAGGAGCTGGAGGTGGAAACTCATGGAACAACCATCAAGAATACTGTGTTCTCTTGTGCTCATTTCTGATGTTCCACACAAGGACCAGGTTGTTCCACCTGTAGCTGATTTAATATCAAATTGCACAACAAATCTTTTGAGAAAATCCTCTATGCTTAAGAATGTTACATATTGAAAAGGAATCCTACCCAGCCATTCTCAACTTGTCATTCACCATGACATTCACAGAAACTGTAGGATAAGTCTTTTTCTCTTCCAGCTTTCCAATCTCTCTTTAGCACTTCCTATTGGCAGAGCCTACCTAGTAGGAAGCAGCTGGAAAGCTATAATAGGGTTGGCAGAGCCTTGGGCACAACATCACAAGGTGGCATACAGAAGAGTGGGCTTGGAGCTGAGATAATAGCTGAAAAACTGGCACAACTTGCCTGCCCACCACACACCAAAAACATTCTTGGAGCATATCATGCTTCTGTGTTTCTTGCTTCACCATGAAACTTGAGCAATTCCTTCAGCATCATAGGTGGAAAACAGCCTTGACTTCAGTTGTCCTGGGACAAGCCTTTCTAAGCTCCCATACTCATGTTTTTAAAATATATTTTATTACATTATTCACTCATTATTCAATGCCAAATATAGCAGACAAACAAGCTTCAAGTTAAATAGTTTAAAAAGCAACAAACAAATAACTTATAAATTATCTTAAGGGATGGAAATTACTGAGGAGCTTATTATATTTTATTTCACTTCTTTTTTATTGTACATATTTAAGGTATACAACATGATGTTTTGATACATGTACCTTGATATACACATACGTAGTGAAGTAATTACTGTAGTCAAGCAAATTAACATATCCATCATCTCATATAGTTTCTTTGTGTGTATGTAATAAAAGTACCTAAAATATACTATCTTGGCAAATTACCAGTATACAATATTTCTGACTCTAGTCTTCATGTTGTATATTACATCTTTAGACTATTCATCCTACCTGCAACTGTGTATGCTTTGACTTACATCTTCCCATTTAATCCCTCCCCCCAACAGCCACCATTCTATTCTCTGTTTCTATGTGCTGTATGCAATCTGTTTTCTTTTTTTAGATTCCGATCATGCAGTATTTTTCTTTCTGTGTCTGGCTTATTTCACTTAGCACAATGTCCTCTAAGTTCATCCACGCTGTCACAAGTGGCAGGATCTCCTCTTTTTAAAGCTGAATAATATTCCTGTGTGTGTGTGTGTGTGTGTGTGTGTGTATTCATCCATCAGTAAACACAGGTTGTTTCTATATCTTGCCATGCTTCTTTTTTTTTTTTCTTCAACTTTTAAGTTCCGGGGTACATGTGCAGGATGTGCAGGTTTGTTACACAGGTAAACATGTGCCATGGTGGTTTGCTGCACAGATCATCCCATCATCCAGGTATTAAGCCCAGCATCCATTAGTTATTTTTCCTGATGCTATCCCTCCCCCACCAACCCCCGACAGGCCCCAGTGTGTGTTGTTCCACCCCTGTGTCCATGTATTCTCATTATTCGGCTTCCACTTGTAAGTGAGAACATGTGGTGTTTGGTTTTCTGTTCCTGTGTTAGTTTGCTGAGGATAATAGCTTCCAACTCCATTCATATCCCTGCAAAGGACATGATTTCATTCCTTCTTATGGCTGCATAGTATTCCATGGTGTATATTTACCACATTTTCTTTATCCAGTCTGTTATTGATGGTATGCTTTTATTTTTTTAGTTATCAGTACAAAGGCATAAATATTTTTATGGCTTTCTATATATGGATATACAAAGAAAATTCTCAAAAGGCTATTTGTTTTGTTTCATACACCAGGTAGACAGACAGTAGTTCTGTGGTTACTATAAACATATGATTCAAACAGCCTAATTTTCTGAAAAAGGAAAAAAACATTATGCCTATCTTATTTTCTACTTAAACAGAACTTTTTATTTCAAATAAAAGCATGAATCAAGCATAAAACAACCTAATTGCTAATCACTGTATTTTAAAATTATCCTTAATTAGAGAAAAATCTAAAGTGAATACTGCCATATTAGAAACTTTTCTTGTGTGTCCTTAATTTGTATCTGTCACTCATAAAGCTAACCCTGCATGCCTGTTCCCCTCCCCAGCTTTAGAGAAACACACAGTTTTACTCACATTGAACCTATTTCTCGAATGCAAGTGCCATCATCCTAGGCATGACACAGAAGGTACATTTAACAGCTTCACTGGGTGACAAAGTTCTTAAGACCTGTGCTATTCTGAGTGTTGTCCTTTTGATTATATTTTGTAAATGAGAATATATGCATTAACTAGTTTTCTTAAGGCTCCAAGCCTGAGCTCCTGCCTGTATTTTGATTATGTGTGTTTTTGCTTTTTTGTTTTTCTTTGTTTTTGCTTTTTTTGTTGATACTTTAAAAACAGTATCTTTATGTCATCCTGTCCTTAGATGGAAACTGAGAGAGGGAAAACCTAGGCATGCCAGCATCCAACACTGTCTGGCTTAGATCAGAGAGGAAGAAAATATTCCTCTCAACTTCAGCTTGCGAGTTTTTTGAAGTTAGCATTTGTACTTTCCTTGATTTGCAAAAACTGATGGTAAAGAAACTATTACACAGGAAGAATTAAATATAAAAGCACCTGGTTCCAAAGCATATAGGAACAATCCTAACTTTGCTGGAATGTAACACTTCAAAAACTATTTCAGTGGAACATGGAGAGTTTATAGAGGAGCTTAAAAATGGCTTAAAATTTCAAATGAAAGTTGAGATGCTTGCAAGCTTGGACTCAAACTATTTTAATGCTGGGCCTTTAGGCAATAATTTCCTTTTTGTTCATCTCATCCAATATAGAAAATAATGGGGTGAGGCTTCCATCCTACCAGCTGCAGTTTGTGGGCACCCTCAGGACTGAAGCTAAGGCAAGCAATTGCCACTTAAACCTAGGACAGTGTCAGCAGCACCAGATATTATGTGAATCAAGGAAATGTTGAAGGACTCTGTGACAGAGCTTTAGAGATGAAACGAATAAAATTTGACCTGATTCCTCAATAAGGGTTCCTGCCAGAGTGAAAAACTAAGCATTGGTATGAGTGCAGCAGCTGTTTGGTCCTGGTGCTGGTTTCAGCACAGGTTGCAACTGATGGGTGAAGCAGTAGTGATACACTGCTCCCACTCATTGCTTTCATCCCCTTGTTACATTTCCAGGAGGCATCCTTGGCTGTAAATAGTGATGATCACAGTCCTTACCACTGATTAGGAACACTCCTGCCTATAATTTATGGCAACTAATTGGTGTTCCTCAAAGTGTGGTCCCAGATGAGGAGCCGCAGTATCACTGGAGGTCCCATTAGAAATGCAGAATCTGACCAGCTGTGGTGGCTCGTGCTTGTAATCCTAGCACTTTGGGAGGCTGAGACGGGAGAATTGCTTGGGGCCAGGAATTCAAGACCAGTCTGGGTGACACAGTGAAACCCTTGGGTGACATAGTGAAACCCCTGTCTCTACCCCCACCCAAGAAGAAGGAGAAGGAGGAGGAGGAGGAGGAGAGAAGGAGGAGGAGAGGAGGAGGGGGAGGGGAGGGGAGGGAACGAGAGAAAGAAATGCAGAATCTTAGGCCCTACTGCAGACCTCATTTTTAAACAAGTTCCCCAGATGAGAAAATCATATCCAAACTGTCCGTCCTCCTCAGTATGTCTGACTTGCTCCACTCTGCAGATTTCCATGTATTCCCAACAGTCTGCTTCCAACTTAAGCCCATTTCCTGCTTTCTTCAGATTCTTCACTGTCCTTCAGTCTAATTTTTCCTCTATCTCTTCTCCCATTAGATAAAATACTAAGGTAGAATGATGGGAAAGAAAGGAGGAAGAGGGGAAAGAGGGAAGTAAGGAAAGAAAAATTGAAGGAAGGTGAAGAGGAAGAAGAGGTGGGAAGGGAGATAGGGAAGGAGGGAGAAAAACCTACTTCAGTTGTGCCATAGTATCATTGGCGTTCTTGAGCTCTATTTCAATCCCAAACAAATACATAAACACAAATATATCCCATTCATTATTTCCATTTTAAAATGAAGCAGTTACTTTCATACAGAAGAGAATGTTAATTAGTGTGATAATTTGGAGAGCAATTTGGCAACGTCTGTTCAAATTTTTTAAGTGAAAATTCTCTTTAATTCAGCAAATTTCAGAATTTATGCTATATAAATACTTGTATAAATGCACAAAAACATATATCAAAGGTATATACTTACAGAATTTTTTTAATAACAAAAAGCTATAAATAGCCTAAAAGTATCAATAAGAGTTGTTTTGGAAAGTCAACATATATCTCTGCAAATGCATACTGTCCTGGCATTAAAAAGAAGTGAGAAAGATCTGCACACGCTTGTGTGGTGAGCTCTCTAGAGTATATTGTTAACCGAGAAAAGGAAGATGCAGAACAATAGGCATATATGATCTCATCCATATGTCATTGTTTAGTATGCGTGTGTACATGTGTATATATATATATATATATTTATAAAACAGTTGATAATTTATAATATTTATATCCAATGGCATATTCTATAGCCATTACAAAAACTATTTTGGTAGAAATTTGAATAACTTAGGACATTCTGGTGATGTAATGCTAATTGAACTAATGTAAGCAGGACATTAATATCATTTTTTATTTTTGACCCACCTTTCTTGAGCATTTTCCAATATGATTAAATATTCCAAAAACATCATTAATTTCTCTATAATATAATATTGTACTCTTGGGTTTTTGGGTTGTTTTCAGTTTTATAACTCATATATAATGTTGACATAAACTTTTTTTTACCTAATGCTATTTTCAAATTTCAGACTAAGATAAATATCTTGTAATTACTAGTTCATAGATGTGACCTTTTATTATAATTACTAGTTCACAGGATTCTTACTTATTGCCAAATTGATTTCCATACTCCACAAAGATTTTTAATATAATCAATTTTTTCTAATGTGACTTGTTATTAAAAGTCATTTATTTAACAAACTTTTACATTTGAAAGAAAATACTTATTAATGCCTACTGTGTGCTAAGCTCCCTTGGCACTCACTAGGCACATCATTACAAATAAGCATGATTCCTACTTTACTACTCAAAGTGTGATATTGGGCTGGTATGGGAAAAACAGACATTGAAACACACAATTACACTGTGATGCAGTTCAGGCTGTCATAGAATTATGCCCAGAGTGCCATGGAGACTCAGCATGCTTATAGTATGATTGTAATAATTAACCAAAAAGGGACTACTTTGCTTTGAAATATTCAAATACTCTCCCACCTTCCAACTAGAGTGGTGGTAACTTGGTGGTGGGTCTGTAGGGGAAATATCTTCTCTTCTTACTCCTATCAGAGTTTACCTGACTGTGACAAGGAAGTAGAAAAGAAACTTGCCCTAATTTTTGGTGTCAAAGTCTAGCACCATTTATATCTACCTTTCTTTCACACATGCAAAAAATAAATCTCCTTCAAGGACACATACATTCATCCTGAATCTATAACTGAACCTTACTTTCTAATACACTATTCTTTATGGTGGCTTAGAATACAAAGATGGTTATCTAGCCTCTGAAAACATTTTTTTTTAATTTCATAAAAACAAGTCTCCAAGTAAAATAAACAATGCAGCCTCCAGAAACAGCACTTTCTATTTTTTCAATATTTCTTGTCAAGAAATTCTAAACTAAAATATTCTAATTAATCTGAACTGTATGAAATTGCCCATATTTGACTTGTTTTTAACCTGTAAAAATGGCAATTCCATATAGCTCAACATAAAACCTGTGATTTAATTCTTTTTTTTCTTCCCCAGGATTGCCCATATGTTAGATCTTATCAAAACTGTTTTACAACAAATAATTTCTGCAGTACCTTCCCCAGATACAAAGAAAATAAAAGAAAAATTAAATTATTAACACAGGTTTATGCTTGGTTGTCACTTTCTAGTCAGATCATCAGTAAAATAAAATTAGAATGTAGTAGTACCCAAATTAAAGAGAAAATGGTTTCCTGCTTAGTTAAGCAAAGAAAATTCTAGCCAATGCAGAATTAGAAGTCAGGAGTAAATGTGGACAAGGAGATCCAGCAAACTACCAAACAAACTGTGATTCATAATCTCCATCTCATGCAAGGCTGGTGTTCTCCTCTTAAGACATAGAACAGTAGACTAATTAATACTAACAATGTGTTAAAAATCAAAACTATTATTAATGCAAATCTGTCCTCCAGAGATGGGGAAGAGGAGGGAGAGAGAGAGAGAGAGAGAAGGAAAGACAGCTGTAGCCTGAAATTGATGGTAACTCCTTCTACAGTACCTTTACCAGATTTAAACTCATATTGTAAAAAAGAAAGCTTAGTATTTCAGTAGAGGATGCTGTATGGGAAACAATGCCTCCCAGCTTAGAAAGCTGGCCTGATCCTATAAGAATGTCAGAATTCTATGTCAATGCTAGTTCATAAGGCAATCCCATTTACAATAGCGAGACAAAAAATAAAATACCTGGGAATATATCTAACAGAGGAGGTGAAATATCTCTACAGAGAGAACTACAAAACACTGCTAAGAAATCATAGATGACACAAACAAATACAAAAACATTCCATATTCATGAATTGGGAGAATCAATATTGTTAAAATGGCAATACTACCCAAAGCAATCTACAGATTCAATGCTATTGCTATCAAATGACCAACAGAATTTTTTCACAAAATTAGGAAAAAACTATTATAAAATTCACATTGAACTAAAAAAGAGCCCAAATAGCCAAAGCAATCCTAAGCAAAAAGAACAAAGCTGGAGGCATCACATTACCCGGCTTCAAACTGTACTATAAGGCTACAGTAACCAAAACAGCATGATACTGGTACAAAAACAGACACATAGACCAATGGAACAGAATAGAGAACCCAGAAATAAGCCTCACACCTACAGCTGTCTAATTTTTGACAAAGTCTTCCAAAAATAAGCAATGGGGAAAGGACTCCCTATTCAATAAATGGTGCTGGGATAGCTGGCTAGCCATAGGCAGAAGAATAAAACAGGATCCCTACCTTTTACCATATATAAAAATTAACTAAAGATGGATTAAAGATTTAAATGTAAGACCTCAAACTGTAAGAATTCTAGAAGAAAACCTAGGAAACACCATTCTGGACATCAGCCTTGGGAAATAATATATGAATAAGTTCTCAAAAGCAATTCCAACACAAGCAAAAACTGACAAGTGGAACCTAATTAAATGAAAAAGCTTCTGCACAGCCAAAGAAACTATCAACAGAGTAAACAGACAACCTACAGAATGGGAGAAAATATTTGCAAACTATGTAATAAAGGTCTAGTATCCAGAATCTTTAAGGAGCTTAAATAATTAAGCAAAAAACCAAATAACCCCATTTAAAAAATGGGCAAGACATGGACACCTCTGAAAAGAAGACATACAAGTGGCCAAGAAACATGAAAACATGCTCAACATCACTAAATATCAGAGAAATGGAAATCAAAACCACAATGAGATACCATCTCACATCAGTCAGAATGGCTATTATCAAAAAATCAAAAAACAACAGATGCTAGTGAGGCTGCAGAGAAAAGCTAAGGTTTATACACTGTTGGTGGGAATGTAAATTAGTTCAGCCACTGTGGAAAGCAGCTTGGAGATTTCTTAAAGAATTTAAAACAGGAATACCATTTGACCTAGCAATCCCATTACTGAGTATATATCTAAAAGAAAACAAAGTGTTCAACCAAAAAGACACATGCACATGTATGTTCATCGCAGCACTATTCACAATAGCAAAGACATGGAATCAACCTAGGTGCTCATCAGTGGGGGACTGGATAAAGAAAATGTGGTAAATATACACCATGGAATATGCTGCAGCCATAAAAAAGAATGTAATCATGTCCTTTGCAGCAACATGGATGCAGCTGGAGACCATTATTCTAAGCAAATTATTGTAGGAACAGAAACCAGATACCACATGTTGTCACTTATAGGCAATGAAGACCACTAGAGGAGGGAGGAAGAGAAGGGGAAAGTGTTGAAAAACTGTTGAGTACTATGCTTGCTATCTGGGTGATCGGGCCATTCATATCCCAAACCTCAGCATCACACAATATACAGTATACCCATGTAACAAACCTGCACATGTATGCATGCCCCCAAATCTAAAATAAAGTTGCAATTATATTTTTAAAAAGCTAGTTCATAGTTGTAACTACTTTCTAGAGTCTTGCTACTATAAATGTAATCACTGCTCAACATCACTAATCATCAGAGAAATGCAAACCAGAGCCTGTGTTTCTCGAACTCTAATGTGTATATGAAGAACTTGGGGTCTCATTAAATGCAGATTGTGATTAGTAGGTCTGAGGAGGGGTGAGAGATTCTGCATGTCTAAGCAGCTCACATGTGATGCAATGCTGCTGGTGGGATCACGTTTCCTTGAGGCTTCAGCAGAGCATCCTTGTGATGGCCTTGGCTCCTCTTTTCTAAATTGTCAGTCTGACCCTGTGGGTCACATACTGAGCACTGATGAAGAGGCCCCCGCTCCCCTTCATTGTCCTTGCTCTCTCCTTGTTTGAATCTTTCCTTCTGTAAAATGGGATTAACAAACCCATGTAGAGAGTCCACTGAATGGCAGAACCTTAGACTTTCCAGTTAGAGGAAACTTTGGAGATTATATGATCTAACTTGTTCCCCTCTCCCCTGCATCACATCTTATGTCTGAAAGCCCATGCCTGAGATCCTACTCACTGAGTGTGCAGTTGTTATTCTCATCTCATTCCATCAGACCTAAGAAAGCTTGGCAGAATAAGGGCCTCTTGCAAATGTTTTCAAATACGTGGAAGTAGCTAGGACAAACAAACAAACCATTGCTCAAAAATCACTCAGCAAACCCCACCTTAACGAGGAATTTTCTCTTTTGGCTTCAGAAAGCAATTAAAAAACTCAGCATTTCTAGGCAAAAAGCTTTAGCAGTTCCCCTCTTGTTCTTTCTCACCACAGCAGGTGCTAAAGCACAGCTCAGTCTTGATTCATCCCTTCTGTCAAGAGCAGGTGTCAGCCTCAATTATTGTTTTGCAAATTCATTTCAGTCATTTAATGCAATTTCTGTAAAATGAGGTATCGATTCCCCAATCTCAGCTGTTTTTCCTGAAGCCTATACTACCTTGGCCTTCCTGGTCTCTTTCTATCTATCTCCATTCTACCTGTCTCCTTCCCCCATCTTCCTCTCTTTCTGGAATGCATGTCACATTTCCGGCCAGTGTTCTATAATAAACCCATTTGTAGTTGCCAAAGGAGAGGCATAATAAAGGCATTGTATGAATATGTTTGAATGAGAAATTCGTGAAAATCAATTTTTATTTATGGTGAAACACTTAACTTGGATAGAATATGATATAAATCAAATGTAACTATGCCTCTGGAGGCACTATGAAAAAGGGAGTGTTCTAGTTTCATGAATTTGCTTTTGTTCTGTGTATATTGCTGTAGCACCATTTTTAAAGTCCTCTTCTTAATGAGTGTCTCTAGCCAGTAAATTTCACACCTCATGTGTGTGAAGACAATTTATTGTGCAAACCAAGGCACTTTTGAGAGTAGATTGGGCAGCCATTGGTTATTGTGCTTCTGTGTCAGGCATGCACTGGGACTGTCTCAGTAAACGGCTACACATGGCCATCCTAATTACAGGCAGTTTGGGATGAAGGACTCAGTGACAGTGTGGTATTGGGAGGTGAATCTGTTGAAGAAAAAAAGCATGAAACATAATTAAACAGGCAAGGAAGGCTTTATTCAAGACTACTGCAGCAGGGGAGAGATTAATCTTGACTCTGGTTGCAGCAGGGACAGCTGGGGATTTATGGCCAATGGGCATGGCGAAGGGGTCAGTGGATAGGAAATTACTAAGAGAATTTGGTTAGGTATTAAGGGTCGGGGGATTCTTGCTGAGCTGGGCTCTGCCGGCCAGGACCAGGCCTAGTCAAGAAGAGGCCTCAGAGGAACATGATTAAGGTTTGGTCAAGGAAAGAGTCCTTGTTGAAACTCACCAAATGAAATGCAGATTTTAAAATTCACTCTTAACTAAGGAAGCTGAATAGTTTCCCAGTCATGGGAACTCATCCTTGCTCTGAGAAATTCTTCCAACTTTATGCTCTATTTTCTCCTTTGTGATTTTTAAAAAATTGTCCTTTGTAAATCTAGTTATTCTAGTTATGCTTGGTAAAGAAATCTATTTTATCTTCTGATCTTTGCTTCTACTTCAGTAAAGCTGTGGTGAAATTGACTCTTCAAAAATGAAAAAAAGTGTGGCTTGAATTGATAAAGGAAGCACAATTGTAATTCATTCAGGAAGGACTTCATCAAGTGGGCTATGTTTCATGGCACATTGTTTAGTGAGGCTTAGAGAACAGAAGGGAAAGCAAGGGGCTTATTTTTATGGTTTGTACACATGTCCATCACAGTGGAGGCTCAATGAAGGTATCTGCTTCCCCCGATAGCCCAGTGCTCACTACTAGACAACTCCTTCCCCCTCTGAGCATTGGTTTTCTTGTCCATAAAATGAAGGTGTTCGATTAGGTGAGCTCCTTGGTACCTTACAGGGATTTAAAAAAATTCTGTAATTCTGATTTTTAAAATTACTCTGTCCCTCTCTGGATTGTGCTCCAATATTATAAAATATCCTCTTGAGGCCATTCTAAAGGATTGAATATGAGCAATGGTAAATCAATCTGAAAATAATGACTTAATGTAGAACCTGTGTCTGAAAAGCTCAGTATATTTTGTGGTTTATGATACAACACATCCAAGGAGATGTATGCAAGAATGTTCCAGCAGATTTATTAATAAAAGCATGTGTGTTGGGGGAGGGGGATCAGCAGAGGAATAGCAACAACCTGAAATGTACTTCAGCAGGAGAATGAATACAGAAATAATGATGGAATGACTCACAGTGAAAGTCAGCTATAGAATCAAAGGGCATAAATTTCAACAATTTTGAGCAAAAACAAGAAATAACTTATACCATTTACTTAAAGTGTAAAGACATACAAAACAGTACTACTACTCATTTCTAAGGGGTACATACTTGTGTATATATAGTAAAAGTATTTTTTTAATTCTTGGTGGTGATAAACACCAGGCTCAGAATAGAGGTTCCCTCTGCGGGTGGGAAGGGAGTATGATTTGGGAGGGGAATTCATGGAGCTTCAGCTGTATTTGCTAATGTTTTATTTCTTAAACTGGGAGTTAGATATATATGTATTCACTGTATTATACTTTATATCTTTTCATATGTCTTAAAATATAACAACCTTATGATAAAGTTGGGATAATCATAAAAAGAGATTGCATACATTTGTTTGCAAATTAGGAACAGTCACCATAATTTAGTGGTAGCAAAGCTAATGTGAATTTGAAATCTTCTTACTACCTGTCCTGCAATTACAATGTACAAACATCAAAAAACAAAACAAAACTTCCAGTGTACACACTGGTGAAAGAACCACTAGTCAGATACCAGTCTCGAGTTGTTACTACTTAATTGCTATTGTTATTTATTTAAAATTTATACTGTGTGAGAAAAGTGTTTATGAAAACATACAGTTAGCTAAAAAGTTGTGATTGGATGCCAGATTGATAAATGAGCAGTTTACTCTGCAAATAAGTGCAAACTCAGCTATGAGCTTTCAGGTGGTCTAGACAACAAGAGAAACCTGCCTACTAGTTTCTTAGTAGACAACCTTATGATAAAGTTGGAATTGTCATGAAAAGACATTGCACACATTTGTTTGTTTGTAGATTAGAAACAGAAGCTCTAATCTACAACTCTCAGTAGGAGAGCTGGATTTTTCTTGGCTCTAAATTTTGGGGAAGAATTAATCACAAGAATCCTTATGTAATGGGTACTGAGGCATTTTGAGTGGTGCTTCTGTTGATTTGCTCTTGGCTGCAGCTCCTTGCTATTCATCCATTTCACACAGCACCCAGAGTGATCGTGCTGTAACAGAATTCAAATCATATCAACCCTCCAGAGGCTTCCCATTGCACCCATGGCAAAGTCAAGCCCCCTTACCTGACCTCCAGGCTCCCTGCTCCTGCCTGACCATCTCACCTTGTCTCTTACCATTCTTCTCCTCTTAATTAGGCTCCACCCACCACAGTTGGTGACTCTTCTTCAGAGCTTATGAGAGCTGGGCATATCCTCTTCTCTCATTTAGGAATGCCCTTCTCCCAAGTCTTGGCTTGTATGACTCATCTTTATGATTCAAGTTTCCATTCAAATGACATTCTCGGTCCCACCCCTCAAAGAGGCTTTTCTTAATGAGCAAAAGTAGCCTCACCACCACCACCTATACTATCCCTAAACCCAAGGCAAGAGGGGTGCTCTGGGCCCTGTGCTGTAGAGGGGTACCCTCCAGCCACATCCCTTCCCATGAAGCACGAAGTCCATGGAGCAAAGGGGACTTACACACCCAGAGCTTGCGTCTCCTCTGCTAGGTCATGCTCTGTGCTGTGGCTTGAATGTGACCCCTTCAAAATTCATATGGAAACTTAATCTTCATTGAGGTAGTATTAAGAGATGAGATTTTGGGAAAGTGATTAAGTCATGAGGGCAGAGCCCTCAGGAATGGATTAATACCTTTACAAAAGAGGTCTCAGAGAGATAATTGCCCCCTTTTGCCCGTCTAAGCTTTCTTCCCCTCCAGAGGACACAGCAAAAAAGTGCCATCTTGGAAGCAGAGGGAGCAGCTCCCACCAGACAGCAAATCTGCTAGCACCTTGACCTGGACCTTGGACTTCCCAGCCTCCAGAACTCTGAGAAATAAATTCTAATATTTATAAATTACCTCTTCCATAGTATTTAAGCAGCACAAGCAAACTAAGATGCCCTGCTTACCTGGGATTCCACAAGTCTCTGCCCAGATGGCCCCAAGCCCATTTCTACAGTCTGTGAGCCTCTGCCTTGGTTCCCTTTGTCTGTATTGTCAGTTTGCAGACCCCTGGGAAGCCCAAGGGTGGTCACACAGTGGCTGTTTGCAGAAGGTATGGATAAATATTAGACATAAGGGCTGCAGTATCATATGTGTACAAGAACTTCCTCTCAATGGGAGTTGGAGCCAGGCTGAGAAGAGACGGGCACAGGCCAGGAGACAGGGATCAGGGACCCAAGGGCTGGCTTGCACAGCCCTTCCACATCCCAGTGCAGAACTCTGAGGAGTCTGAGAATCCTGAGTGCAAACTTGTTCTTCCAGGTGTTTGAAAAGTTGATTTGTCAAGCTAAGAGGGTAGATCATATTTTATTAAACAGTTTGTTAGCTTGATTCACACTCTTTATTTATACATATGTGGATCTCCATTTATACTCTTGCCGCCTCTCAGAAACGTTAGCAGCAGGCCTGGCTTCCTCTGCATTTGAGTCACTCCAGAAGATGGTGGTTCAAATTCCAGGGCCTGGTGGTTAAAAAAAAAAAAAAAAAAAGGGGCGGGGTCTGTGCCAAATCTCTTTTCTGACACCCACCTTCTTGGGGATTCCAGACTTTCTTCTCAAAGTCCTGTTCTCTACTCTCTCTCCTATTTCCCTGTTTTTATTTTGTAGCACTGAAAAAAATCTAAAATTACCTTATTTGTTTACTTGTTTAATATGAGGTCTGTGAGGTCAGAGGCTTGTGGCTACATCTGCAGCATGTGGCACATACTAAGTGCTCATTAAAAATGTGCTTATAGCCAAGCATGGTGCCTCATGCCTGTACTTCTAGTGATTTGGGGGGCCAGCATGAGAAGACTGCTTGAGGCTAGGAGTTTGAGACCAGCCTGGGAAACATAGCAAGACACCCTTGTCTCTACAGAATTTTTTTTTTAATGAGCTGGGTTGTGGTGGTGTATTCCTGTAGTCCCAGCTATTCTACAGACTGAGGTGGGAGGATCACTTAAGCCTGGGAGGTCGAGGTTGCAGCTATGATTGCACCACTGCACTCCAGCCAGGGTGACAGAGCAAGACCCTGTTTCTAAAAATAATATAAATAAATAAATAAATAAATAATTGCTGAATGTGTCATGACAGGAATATTGTTTTAAAAAATTTGCTAAATGAATGACTTAGGTGCTATTTTGTGCCAGGACTATGCAGGGTACAAAGATAACTCAGAAAGGTCCTCTGCCTTCAAGGGTCGCCAAGCCTAGTTGGGGAGCAATCTTGAAAACAACAGTCTTCTGCCTTTAGTTTTACACTTCTGACATCATTAATGAATCTGGAAACAAAAATATATATGTAGCCATTATTGTAGCACTTCCGGGCAGACAAACAATTTGCAAGGTAAATAAGCTGCAGGGAAAGGGAAACATACTTTCTGTTAGTTTCTCTAAAGGTTTAGGGATAAGAGAGCTTTTAAACTTGATGACCCATCAGAATGGTGGAAAGTGCTTTTTCTCCCTCTCCCTGAAGATAAATTGCTTGTTTTTCTAGGAGTGGGGGAACATGTTAAACGTTTTCTGCTGTTAAGCTAAAATACTGTTTAGAACAGGAGGCTAAAATCTCCTTAGCTGCTGCTGTCTGCCTTATTTAACTTACATGGCAGACGGTGGCATCTGCTGAACAACACTGTGTTGGCTGCTTATCTCCTCCAAGGAGTTGAGGGACTCTGGAGTCGTCCTCAGAGGACTCCATGGGCAGCAGGGCAGCTGGGGCTTCCAGCAGCTCTGGGCAGACTTCATTTTCACTCCAGATGGCCTGGGTGTGCAAAGTGTGAAAGAAGACAGGCAGAAACACTGTCCCTTCTGCATAGAATCCCTTTTTAAAAATTAATTAAGGCTTGTGTCTAGTCACCCAGAAATATAAGAGGTCATTTTTATCTAAAGATGATTGTGCAGGCCCCATAAAGCCAATGCATTTGAAATAATGATGAATATATCATAAGAAATACTGAAAACTGTACTTGTTTGGAGTTTTATCTTGAAAAACAGCAGCTAAAAACCATAAAAGTGATTTTAGAGTTTATAAAATTAGGCTATAACTTTACTATGTGCTAATTCTTAGAATACTAGGGATGCATATATTTTTTAATAAAATTGTATGACATCACCATATTCCTTCCTATTTGACTTTCAAGACATCTACTCATTCATCCAACAAATATTTATTGACTAATTACTATGCACCAAGCACTGTTCTAGGCAGTGGGATCAGTCAAAAAAAAAAAAAGAAAATATTTTTCGTGTTTTCATGGACCTTATATTCTAATGGGTGATAAATCATAAAATATTAGGGAAAAGCAGATCATGCTGGAAAGTAGCAAATACTAAGAAGAAAATACAAAAGCAGAGATGGTGAATAAGTAGTACAGAATATTGGTAAAGACTACAGTTTAAAGAGGGTGGTCAGAATATGTCTCTCTGAGAAGATGACATGAGGGAAAAGATTTGAAGGTGATGAGGAGAGAAACATATGAATATCCAGAGAAAGAGCATTCTAGTTAGAGGGAACATCAAGTGCAAATGTCCTGGAGCAGGATGTGCCTAATGCGTTCAAAGAAGAGCAAGGAGCCAGTGCAGCCGGAATGGAGGGAGTGAGGGGAGGAAGGTAGGCAATCTGGAGAGATATGATTGGATATTGTATACCACTGGAAAGACCTTTACTCTGAGATGAAGAGTCCAATAGAGTTTTGAGCAGGGAAGTGAAAGTAGGCTTACCGTGGCTGCTGAGCTGACAATAGACTGTAGAGTAGTGAGGGTAGAAGCAGGAAACGAATCGAGTGGCTCCTGAAAGAATCAGGTGGGAGACAGAGTAGTAGTGGAAATGGTGAGAAGTGTTGGGATCCTAGTTACATTTTAAAAATGGAGCTGATAGGGCTTACTAATTGATCTGATTATGAAAGGAACTGGACTACTAGAATGTGAGAGAAAGAGAGGAATCAAAGATAACTCAGGTTTTTGACCTGAAAAGGAACTGAGATAAACAGAAATGGGGAAGACTGAATAGTATTAAGATATTTTAGAGGGAAGAGCAGGAATTTGACAGGGCACAATAATTCTAAGATTATTACCTACTAGACATCCACACAGAAGTGTCAAGTAGGTAGCTGAATACATGAGTCTGGAGTTTAGGAGAGAAGTGACAAGTGCATATTTGAGAACCAACAGTTTAAGGGAGGATTTAAAGTCATGAAACTAGATGACCCACCTTGGGAGAGAATGTGGATAGAGGACAGAAGAAGTCTAGGGATCAGGGAGATATGGAGGAACAAGCATAGTCAAATCAGAGAAGATCATTTTGGGGAAAATATTGGAGGACCTTGTTAAGTTTCTTGGAGTCTTCTTCCAATTTCCTAAAATTTAAATCATCCTATTTGAAGAGTCTGTCATCATTGTTACTGATTTTTCAGTTTTTTGGTGATTGACCTAATGCTCAGATCCTTTCTTATCAATGACAGCACAAGATTCCAACATGGTTTTCTTCACATAGTCCATTTTGTGTTGCTGTAACAGAACACCACAATCTGAGTAATTTATAAAGAAAATAAATTTGTTTCTCACAGTTCTGGAGGCTGGGAAGTCAAATATCAAGGTGCCAGCATCTGGTAAGGGCCATCTTGCTACATCATCCCATGGCAGAAGTCGGAAGGGCAAGAGAGAGGGGAAAAGAGAGAAGGAAGGGGGGGGGGCAAAATCATCCTTTTATCAGGAACCCACTCCTACAATAACTAACCACTCCCATAATAACAGCATTAATCCATTCATAAGGCAGAGCCCTCAAGACCAAATTACTTCTTACAGGTCCCACCTCTTAACACTGCTGCAATGGGAATTAAGTTTCCAACACATGAACCTTGGGGGACACATTCATGCACTATGTGACATCCTGCATCTGCAAGTTTTGCAGTGCCATTTTAATGAAGTCAGTTTACTTTGCACTTGCACTTTGTGTTTACCCTGTCACAGCTCACCGGTAACAGAACTCTTAGTGTGATGGACAGAGATAGAAACTAGCATTCAGCAAAGAGGCAGTTTTCAGGGTGGACTAATTTTATACACAACCATTTATCAGTAGATATTTTTAAGTTCTGATGCTTTAAAAATCCTTGTAAATTTGGGGGCTTGAGTAATGAATATTAGATGATAATGACCTTCCGGGTATCCATTAAACCATTAGCAATGTCTCCAGTTTGTTAAGAATTAATAGATATTAAAAATCAGAAGGAGGGCAGCCAAGATGGCCGAATAGGAACAGCTCTGGTCTACACCTCCCAGCGTGAGCGACGCAGAATACGGGTGATTTCTGCATTTCCATCTGAGGTACCAGGTTCATCTCACTAGGGAGTGCCAGACAGTGGGCGCAGGACAGTGGGTGCAGCGCACCGTGCGTGAGCCGAAGCAGGGCGAGCAAGGCATTGCCTCACTCGGGAAGCGCAAGGGGTCAGGGAGTTCCCTTTCCTAGTCAAAGAAAGGGGTGACAGACGGCACCTGGAAAATCGGGTCACTCCCACCCTAATACTGCGCTTTTCCGACGGGCTTAAAAAACGGTGCACTAGGAGATTATATCCCACAACTGGCTCGGAGGGTCCTACAACCACAGAGTCTCGCTGATTGCTAGCACAGCGGTCTGAGATCAAACTGCAAGGCGGCAGCGAGGCTGGGGGAGGGGCGCCTGCCATTGCCCAGGCTTGCTTAGGTAAACAAAGCAGCCGGGAAGCTTGAGCTGGGTGGAGCCCACCACAGCTCAAGGAGGCCTGCCTGCCTCTGTAGGCTCCACCTCTGGGGGCAGGGCACAGACAAACAAAAAGACAGCAGTAACCTCTGCAGAATTAAACGTCCCGGTCTGACAGCTTTGAAGAGAGCAGTGGTTCTCCCAGCATGCAGCTGGAGATCTGAGAACGGGCAGACTGCCTCCTCAAGTGGGTCCCAGACCCCTGACCCCTGAGCAACCTAACTGGGAGGCACCCCCCAGTAGGGGCACACTGACACCTCACATGGCCAGGTACTCCTCTGAGACAAAACTTCCAGAGGAACGATCAGACAGCAGCATTCGTGGTTCACGAAAATCCGCTGTTCTGCAGCCACCGCTGCTGTTACCCAGGCAAACAGGGTCTGGAGTGGACCTCTAGCAAACTCCAACAGACCTGCAGCTGAGGGTCCTGTCTGTTAGAAGGAAAACTAACAAACAGAAAGGACATCCACACCAAAAACCCATCTGTACATCACCATCATCAAAGACCAAAAGTAGATAAAACCACAAAGATGGGGAAAAAACAGAGCAGAAAAACTGGAAACTCTAAAAAACAGAGCGCCTCTCCTCCTCCAAAGGAACGCAGTTCCTCACCAGCAACGGAACAAAGCTGGATGGAGAATGACTTTGACGAGCTGAGAGAAGAAGGCTTCAGATGATCAAAATACTCCGAGCTACAGGAGGAAATTCAAACCAAAGGCAAAGAAGTTGAAAACTTTGAAAAAAATTTAGACGAATGTATAACTAGAATAACCAATACAGAGAAGTGCTTAAAGGAGCTGATGGAGCTGAAAGCCAAGGCTCGAGAACTGCGTGAAGAATGCAGAAGCCTCAGGAGCCGATGCAATCGACTGGAAGAAAGGGTATCAGTGATGGAAGACTAAATGAATGAAACGAAGCGAGAAGGGAAGTTTAGAGAAAAAAGAATAAAAAGAAATGAACAAAGCCTCCAAGAAATATGGGACTATGTGAAAAGACCAAATCTACGTCTGATTGGTGTACCTGAAAGTGACGGGGAGAATGGAACCAAGTTGGAAAACACTCTGCAGGATATTATCCAAGAGAACTTCCCCAATCTAGCAAGGCAGGCCAACCTTCAGATTCAGGAAATACAGAGAACACCACAAAGATACTCCTCAAGAAGAGCAACTCCAAGACACATAATTGTCAGATTCACCAAAGTTGAAATGAAGGAAAAAATGTTAAGGGCAGCCAGAGAGAAAGGTCGGGTTACCCACAAAGGGAAGCCCATCAGACTACCAGCGGATCTCTCGGCAGAAACTCTACAAGCCAGAAGAGAGTGGGGGCCAATATTCAACATTCTTAAAGAAAAGAATTTTCAACCCAGAATTTCATATCCAGCCAAACCAAGCTTCATAAGTGGAGGAGAAATAAAATACTTTACAGACAAGCAAATGCTGAGAGATTTTGTCACCACCAGGCCTGCCCTAAAAGAGCTCCTGAAGGAAGCACTAAACATGGAAAGGAACAACCGGTACCAGCCACTGCAAAATCATGCCAAAATGTAAAGACCATCGAGGCTAGGAAGAAACTGCATCAACTAACGAGCAAAATCACCAGCTAACATCATAATGACAGGATCAAATTCACACATAACAATATTAACTTTAAATGTAAATGGACTAAATGCTCCAATTAAAAGACACAGACTGGCAAATTGGATAAAGAGTCAAGACCCATCAGTGTGCTGTATTCAGGAAACCCATCTCATGTGCTGAGACACACATAGGCTCAAAATAAAAGGATGGAGGAAGATCTAGCAAGCAAATGGAGAACAAAAGAAGGCAGGGGTTGCAATCCTAGTCTCTGATAAAACAGACTTTAAACCAACAAAGATCAAAAGAGACCAAGAAGGCCATTACATAATGGTAAAGGGATCAATTCAACAAGAAAAGCTAACTATCCTAAATGTATATGCATCCAATACAGGAGCACCCAGATTCATAAAGCAAGTCCTGAGTGACCTACAGAGAGACTTAGACTCCCACACAATAATAATGGGAGACTTTAACACCCCACTGTCAACATTAGACAGATCAATGAGACAGAAAGTTAACAAGGATATCCAGGAATTGAACTCAGCTCTGCACCAAGTGGACCTAATAGACATCTACAGAACTCTCCATCCCAAATCAACAGAATATACATTTTTTTCAGCACCACACCACACCTATTCCAAAATTGACCACATAGTTGGAAGTAAAGCTCTCCTCAGCAAATGTAAAAGAACAGAAATTATAACAACTGTCTCTCAGACCACAGTGCAATCAAACTAGATCTCAGCATTAAGAAACTCACTCAAAACTGCTCAACTACATGGAAACTGAACAACCTGCTCCTGAATGACTACTGGGTACATAATGAAATGAAGGCAGAAATAAAGATGTTCTTTGAAACCAATGAGAACAAAGACACAACATACCAGAATCTCTGGGACACATTCAAAGCAGTGTGTAGAGGGAAATTTATAGCACTAAATGCCCACAAGAGAAAGCAGGAAAGATCCAAAATTGACACCCTAACATCACAATTAAAAGAACTAGAAAAGCAAGAGCAAACACATTCAAAAGCTAGCAGAAGGCAAGAAATAACTAAAATCAGAGCAGAACTGAAGGAAATAGAGACACAAAAAACCCTTCAAAAAATTAATGAATCCAGGAGCTGGTTTTTTTGAAAGGATCAACAAAATTGATAGACCGCTAGCAAGATTAATAAAGAAAAAAAGGGAGAAGAATCAAATAGACACAATACAAAATGATAAAGGGGATATCACCACTGATCCCACAGAAATACAAATTACCATCAGAGAATACTACAAACACCTCTACGCAAATAAACTAGAAAATCTAGAAGAAATGGATAAATTCCTTGACCCATACACCTTCCCAAGACTAAACCAGGAAGAAGTTCAATCTCTGAATAGACCAATAACAGGATCTGAAATTGTGGCAATAATCAATAACTTACCAACCAAAAAGAGTCCGGGACCAGATGGATTCACAGCCGAATTCTACCAGAGGTACAAGGAGGAACTGGTGCCATTCCTTCTGAAACTATTCCAATCAATAGAAAAAGAGGGAATCCTCCCTAACTCATTTTATGAGGCCAGCATCATCCTGATACCAAAGCCTGGCAGAGACACAACCAAAAAAGAGAATTTAAGACCAATATCCTTGATGAACATTGATGCAAAAATCCTCAATAAAATACTGGCAAACCAAATCCAGCAGCACATCAAAAAGCTTATCCACCATGATCAAGTGGGCTCATCCCTGGGATGCAAGGCTGGTTCAATATATGCAAATCAATAAATGTAATCCAGCATATAAATGGAACCAAAGACAAAAACCACATGATTATCTCAATAGATGCAGAAAAGGCCTTTGACAAAATTCAACAACCTTCATGCTAAAAACTCTCAATAAATTAGGTATTGATGGGACATATCTCAAAATAATAAGAGCTATCTATGACAAACTCACAGCCAATATCATACTGAATGGGCAAAAACTGGAAGCATTCCCTTTGAAAACTGGCACAAGCCAGGGATGCCCTCTCTCACCACTCCTATTCAACATAGTGTTGGACGTTCTGGCCAGGGCAATTAGGCAGCAGAAGGAAATAAAGGGTATTCAATTAGGAAAAGAAGAAGTCAAATTGTCCCTGTTTGCAGATGACATGATTGTATATCTAGAAAACCCCACTGTCTCAGCCCAAAATCTCCTTAAGCTGATAAGCAACTTCAGCAAAGTCTCAGGATAGAAAATCAATGTGCAAAAATCACAAGCATTCTTATACATCAATAACAGACAAACAGAGAGCCAAATCATGAGTGAACTCCCATTCACAATTGCTTCAAAGAGAATAAAATACCTAGGAATCCAACTTACAAGGGATGTGAAGGACCTCTTCAAGGAGAACTACAAACCACTGCTCAATGAAATAAAAGAGGATACAAAGAAATGGAAGAACATTCCATGCTCATGGGTAGGAAGAATCAATATCATGAAAACGGCCATGCTGCCCAAGGCAATTTATAGATTCAATGCCATCCCCATCAAGCTACCAATGACTTTCTTCACAGAATTGGAAAAAACTACTTTAAAGTTCATATGGAACCAAAAAAGAGCCCGCATCACCAAGTCAATCCTAAGCCAAAAGAACAAAGCTGGAGGCATCACGCTACCTGACTTCAAACTATACTACAAGGTTACAGTAACCAAAACAGCATGGTACTGGTACCAAACAGAGATATAGATCAATGGAACAGAACAGAGCCCTCAGAAATAACGCCGCATTTCTACAACTATCTGATCTTTGACAAACCTGAGAAAAACAAGCAATGGAGAAAGAATTCCCTATTTCATAAATGGTGCTGGGAAAACTGGCTAGCCATATATAGAAAGCCGAAACTGGATCCCTTCCTTACACCTTATACAAAAATTAATTCAAGATGGTTTAAAGACTTAAACATTAGACCTGAAACCATAAAAACCCTAGAAGAAAACCTAGGTATTACCATTCAGGACATAGGCGTGGGCAAGGACTTCATGTCTAAAACACCAAAAGCAATGGCAACAAAAGCCAAAATTGACAAATGGGATCTCATTAAACTAAAGAGCTTCTGCACAGCAAAAGAAACTACTATCAGAGTGAACAGGCAACCTACAAAATAGGAGAAAATTTTCGCAACTTACTCATTTGACAAAGGGCTAATATCCAGAATCTACAATGAACTCAAACAAATTTACAAGAAAAAAACAACCGCATCAAAAAGTGGGTGAAGGACATGAACAGACACTTCTCAAAAGAAGACATTTATGCAGCCAAAAGACACATGTAAAAATGCTCATCATCACTGGCCATCAGAGAAATGCAAATCAAAACCACAATGAGATACCATCTCACACCAGTTAGAATGGCAATCATTAAAAAGTCAGGAAACAACAGGTGCTGGAGAGGATGTGGAGAAATAGGAACACTTTTACACTGTTGGTGGGACTGTAAACTAGTTCAACCATTGTGGAAGTCAGTGTGGCAATTCCTCAGGCATCTAGAACTAGAAATACCATTTGACCCAGCCATCCCATTACTGGGTATATACCCAAAGGACTATAAATCATGCTGCTATAAAGACACATGCACACGTATGTTTATTGTGGCACTATTCACAATAGCAAAGACTTGGAACCCACTCAAATGTCCAACAATGATAGACTGGATTAAGAAAATGTGGCACATATACACCATGGAATACTATGCAGCCATAAAAAATGATGAGTTCATGTCCTTTGTAGGGACATGGATGAAATTGGAAATCATCATTCTCAGTAAACTATCGCAACGACAAAACACCAAACACCGCATGTTCTCACTCATAGGTGGGAATTGAACAATGAGAACACATGGACACAGGAAGGGGAACATCACACTCTGGGGACTGTTGTGGGGTGGGGGGAGTGGGGAGGGATAGCATTAGGAGCTATACCTAATGCTAAATGACGAGTTAATGGGTGCAGCACACCAGCATGGCACATGTATACATATGTAACTAACCTGCACATTGTGCACATGTACCCTAAAACTTAAAGTATAATAATAATAAAATTTAAAATAATAAATAAATAAAAATAAATAAAAATAAAAATCAGCTTAGAAATTGTTCCAGAAGTTAATGTCTTCATTTATAAAGGAAGACAGTGACTGGCCTACAGAACTGAGTGACTAGACTGCACAGCTAGCTAGGAGCAAAGCCTGAATGAGAATCAATCTGAACCCCCCCTCCATGTAGTGCCATTTAGTGGTTAAGATACTTAACATCTGTGCCTCAGTTTCTTCAACTGTGAAACAGGAGTTATATCGCATACCTCATATGATTGTGTAAATAACACATTAAAAAATAGATATCAAGTGCTTGGCATAAATTTTTTTTCTTTTTTTTTGAAACGGAGTCTTGCTCTGTCACCCAGGCTGGAGGGCAGTGGCGTGATCTCAGGTCACTGCAGTGGCACGATCTTGGCTCACTGCAGCCTCCACCTCCTGGGTTCAAGCAATTCTCCTGCCTCAGCCTCCCGAGTAGCTGGGACTACAGGCACACGCCGCCATGCCCGGCTTATTTTTGTATTTTTAGTAGAGACGGGGTTTCACCATATTGGCCAGGATGGTCTTGATCTCCTGCCCTCGTGATCCACTGGCCTCGGCCTCCCAAAGTGTTGGGATTACAGGCATGAGCCACGGCGCCCAGCTGGTTTTTTTTTTTTTTTTTTTTTTTTTAATACTAAGTCTGGCAAGGATATGGAGCAACTAAGACTGTCATACACTGCTGGTGGGAATGCAAAATGGAACATCTGCTTTGGAAAACAGTTGAGTGGTTTCTTCACACTTGATCTTCACCAAACGGCTGAGAAGCAATAAGCAGTTTCTTATAAAGTTAAATATACACTTACCATACAACCCAGAAATTCCACTCCTAGGTATTTATCCAAGTCAAGTGAAAATATATGTCCACACAAAAACCTACATATGAATACATATAGCAACTTTATTCACAATCTTCAAAAACTAGGAACAACCCAAATATTGGTCAGCTATGAATGGATAAACCAACTGCAGCACATCCGTACAGTGAAACACTGATCAGCAATAAAAGGAACAAATTATAATACACACAGCAGTTTAGATGAATCTCAAAGATGCTATGTTAATTGAAAGGCACCAGTTCTTTAAAAGCTGCATTCTGAATGATTCCATTCATATGACATTCTGGAAAAGGCAAAACTGAAGGAACAAAAACAGGTCAGTTATCACCAAGGGGTGGAGGGAGGACTTGGTTACAAAAGGATATGAGGGAATTCTGGAGTGTGATGAAATTGCTCTGTATCTCAGTTGAGGTGTGAGTTAGATGGCTGAATGAGTTTATCCAAACTCATAGAGCTGTACATTCAAAAGAAGAAATTTTGTTATATATATTTTTTTATCAATTTAAAAAATATATAAAAAATAAAAGAGGGAATCCCAAAGATGAAATAAAAACAAAACATTCCTGGGACTTAACAGACTCTTTGAAAAACAAGTTTTCTTCTATTTTCCCCTCCTTTCCCTGAGAAAGAATTACTCATGATTGAAAGCCCTTAAAAAGAATTTGCTTACTCAGATATTATTTTTAAAAGGAGTGAAATTCATGACTCACAAAGTGTCTATTTTCTTCTGGCTTTTAAGTCATTTTTTACTTCATTTTTTCAACAAATAATTATCGATCACCTATAAGCAAAGAATGTCTTCCTGAGCTCTCACTTATAATTGAACATTTAGAGCTGAAGGAATCCTTAGAAATCAGTTAGTCTACATTGCAGATGAAGTAACTGAGGCTCTGAAAAGTGAAAGTCACTCACCCAGTGCCACCCAGAAAGTTGGTGGCAGAATCCCAGCCAGCACTTAGAGTGTCTAACGGGGCTTCGGTCTTTTCACTGTGCTCATCTTTGCAGCCCCTGAACCTTATCCTAAGAAGCTAACAGCTGCTTTGAGAAGTGATTTCTTCAGCTGTGTGAATGTACCCTTCACTGGTGGGATTTATAAAGTGTGATGGTGGGGGTACAGGGAAATATTTGGGACAAAGCATTGTATTCTGAGCTTCTGGAAACTCACTTCACAAGCTGCTTCCCTTCCCTAAGAGGAGTCCTTGTTTCTTACAGTAAACAGGAACAGGAACAGATTGCATGGAAGAATCATTAGTAGGCACCTGGAAGTGGCAAGATCCCTCTCCTGTTACTATCAAAGCTTTGTTTTTACCCAAGAGCAGTAAGAACCTTCTTGAACTGGTGTAGGTGGAGCTCTCTAATAATACCCCAAGATAATGAAAGACACTACTCCTGAAGTCATCCTTTAGGCTAATACATAAAAGGATGGATGACCAGAGGGTAAGAGCTGGTAAATCCCAAAGGCGTGAGCAATGCAAATTGAGGGACATTCTAGCATCCAGATCATTGAAGGAAACTAAAGAGACATGACAAGTAAATGGAACTCATGATTATTTTGAATGCTTTGTTATCAGGCAGTGTTATTGGACAATTGGGGGAAATCTGAATGTTTCCATATACAAGATAACAGAATCAGATCTATTAATGTGAATTTCCTGATTCTGGTGGCAGTTTTGTGGTTATGTAGAAGTGTTTTTATTCGTACAAAATACACACAAAGTATGAGTGGGGGACATTGGGGTAGCAACTTATTCTCAAAAGACTCAGGGACAAAATAGTTCTTTATACTATTCCTGTAACTTTTCTGTAAGTATGGGATTCAAAATTAAAATAATATTTAAAATATGAGGACATTTTAGATATTATCCTTATAAAACTAAGCAGCTATGGCTGTATTCTTTAGAGCCCTTATTAGATAGAGATAAATAATTAGAGGGTACACAGCATAGTCTATAATTGATGGGCAAATAAGTAGATGTGATAAAATGTATTTTTTTATAAATGAAAGGTAAGCACAGGAAGAGGTAATAAAGGAATTTGGAGGATGAGAGATTGAGTTTGGAGGAAATGGGCAGGGGAGAGAAGAAGAGCTTTCTTGGTGTTTAATAGTTTTTCATCAGCAAGGGAGTCAGCCAAACACGTATTCGGGATGTGACCCCAAGCAGTTCAAATTTTGGAACATTAGGGAACCTTCCTTCAGGACTCCTGTGTCAAGGGACCATTATCCAGCCCAACGAGCACTGTCCTGAGAGTCCTGAAACCTGGACTCTAGTCCCCTATTTGTCCCCAACTGCCAATTCAATCTTGGGCAAAACAACCTGTAAATGAAGTATTTGGACTAAAATGATGTTTGACAATCCCTAAAAAACTTAAAAGGCTTTTGTTTCTTGAAGAAAATGATAAAATTTAGAAAGGAAATGCACCATAGAAAGAAATAGAAAACAATGAAAATATAAATTCTTTTTATTTGAGATACCCAGCTAACTAAAGGAATAGTTCCTGCCACCCCATGTCCCTCTCTTTGAAAAAGGAAACATAGGAACTCTTTTAATTTGAACAGCACAGAGAATACTGCCCTCCCTTCTCACATCTTAGATAACAGCAAGAGAGTCCTCTTAAATTGAATTTCTATTTATGAATCTAAAAATTCAAATGCATCATTGCAGAATATAGTGTGTTTTCCAAATATCAGAATAAATTTACACGGCAATATTCCAAGACTAGAACACCTATAGCTTTTCTGTCAGCCTAAAATGAGTTTGTTTATGGAATGACTGATTTTGTTTTTGACCCGTAATTTATTTAGAATGTATTATTTTAAAATTTACTCACATGTGTAAATGTTTAATCTTTATTTTTATTACAGATTTCTAACAATTTTATTGTGGTCAGACACTAGATTTTATATGAAACCAATTATTCAGCATTTATTGAGGGTTAAATTGTCTAGCACATGGTCAGTTTTCGCAAATGTTACATGAGAGCCTGGGAAGAATGTCTTGCTCTATGTGTATCTATTAAGTTCAGCTTATTAAGTATGTTATTCAGATATTTTCTATCATTACTAATATTTTGAATGCTTCACTTATCAATAACTGAGCAAGGTATATTAAAATCCAGCATTGTGAGAATATATCTGACAGTTTCTCTTTGTAGTCCTCTATGTATTTTGATTCTGTTTTATTAGATGCATGCTCATTTAGAATTCTTTTTTTCTTCTTTGTGAATTGAATTATTATGTAGTGACTTTCTTTATCTCTAATAATGCTTTTTTAACTTAAAATGTATTTTTATCATATTAATATGGCTACCCTAGATTTCTTTTGGTTATTATTTGCCTGGTAGCTTTGTCAAAAATTATTTTACTTTCAATCTTTCAATGCCATCATGTTATGGGTATATTTCTTGTAACAACACCTAGCTGGATTTTGTTTTTTAGTCAGTGAGTCTAGTCCATTTACATTTATTATAATTATGAATGATGGTGGGTATTTAAGTCACAATTAAAATAATCCTTTTAGAAATGGTTTTTAACAGTATATTAAACCAACATTTGCACTCAGGATCCTGCCCAGAGTGAACTGAGAAAGAGGGAAGTGCCATTGACAGAAAGAGGCCTTCAAGGCACGTGCTCTATCTGGGCACGCTGCAGGCTATGGAAGCCTCTACCAGTTCACCTGCCTGCTTCTGGAGAGAGAGCTGTTCTGTCTTTGCCCACCTGATTCAGAGACAGCCATTTGAAACACTACACATGGAGAATTTTAAACCTCTTTCTGTAAAATGTATCCTTAATGAAGATTCCGGATGCTTGTTAGCACCAAATGATTGTTGAAATGACGATATTAAAGGTAAAATACATTGTACCATTCCATTCCTGCAGTGACTCACACATATTTGATGTGCAGGGATTTCTTACATTCCACAAAATCATTTTCAGGGTTTCCTTAAACTATGCCTGTGTTCTCTTAAGGCTTTCTGGTAAACCAGGTTTTCATGATTATTTCTAAGAAATTACATGTTTTTCACTCCCACTGTGTCACTAGTCTCCTGGTGTCTTTTTTTTTTTTTTCAAATTCATCCAGAGAAGTTAAAAAATCTAAAATAGTATCTTAACCAAGATAGAGCTACAAAATTGTTTGAGGCTTCCAGTTTAACAGAAATAGGATTGCTATGCAATTCACCACTGAGAAAGCAACAATAACGTACATGATAGTAAATAATACCTAGCATGATAAGAGGTGTGTGTGTGTGTATATGTATGCATGTATGTCTGTGTATGAAATCCCCACTTAAATATAAGAAACCGAAGACATAGAAAATTTAAGTATTTTACTCCATTCCGATACTATAACAAAATACTTCAGGCTGGCCAATTTATACACAATAGGAATTTTATGATAAATGACTTTTACCTCAATTTTTAAAAAAGAAAAAATATATGTATACAAAGAAGTGACCAGGGGAATTGGCCATATGAAAGTCATTGATACCATAGTGAGAGTAGTTTCAGGGAAAAAGAGAGGGCCAAGACTCAAGAGGAGTGGATTCAGAAAGAGTGTGCAGTAAAAAAGCAACAAACATAACTCTTTCAAGAAGTTTTGTTGGGAATAGAGATCAAAGTGATGGGTTGAGAAGGGGATGAGCCTTGGGGGATGTGGAGGTTAAAGGAGGTTTTATTGTTTAGGAAAAGATATAGCAGGTCATGTGTGTACCCTAACAGGAATGATCTAGTAGAGGTAGAAAGTGATTGTGAGGTAAAGAGAGAAGATGACTGCAGGAGGGAATGTCACTGTGATGGTGACAGAGGCCAGGATCCAGAGCACTCAGGTAGAGTTTTGTCTTTGATAGGAGCAGGGAGGATCCCTTAATTAGGCACAGAAGAGGAGGCCAAGTATATAGTTACTGATCCAAATAAGTGGGCAGTTTGAATACTGGGAAAATGGAATGTTTATGTGATTGTTTTGGTTTTCCATTTGAGAAAACAGGTGAAGTCATTGGCTGAGAACTAGGGTGAGGGTCCAACCTTACATTCTCCTTCCACACTGCCCTAGTAGAGTATCTCTGTGAGGGCTTCACCCCAGCAGCAGGCTTCTGTCTGAACACCAGGCTTTTGCGTACATTCTCTGAAACCTAGGAAGATGCTTCCAAGCCACTTTCACTCTTGCATTCTGTGCACCTGCAGGCTTAACACCATGTAGAAGCTGCCAGAGCTTATGGCTTGCACCCTCTGGAGCTCTGGCCTAAGCTGGACCTCTTTGAACCAAGGCTGAAACCAGAGCAGCTGGGATGTGAGGAGCAGTGTCCCGAGGCTGTGCAGGGCAGTGGGTCCCTGAGCCTGGCTCCTGAACCCATTCTTCCCTCCTAGGCCTCTGGGCCTGTCATGGGAGGGGCTGCCATGAATATCACTGAAATGCCTTTGAGGCCTCTTCCTCATTGTCTGGATATTTACACTTAACCCACTTTTAGGTATGCAAATATCTCTAGCAGGTGGTTGCTCCATAGCCTGCTTGAATTTCTCTCCCCCAAAAAAGCTTTTTCTTTCTTTGTCACATGGCTAGGCTGCAAATTTTCCAAACTTTTATGCTATCCTTCCCTTTTAAATATAAATTCCAAATTTTGTCATTTCTTTGCTCCAATATCTGGACATAGGTTGTTAGAAGCAGCCAGGACACATCTTGAAGGCTTTGCTGCTTAGAAATTTCTTCCACCAGATACCCTCAATCATCACTTTGAAGTTCAAACTTCCACAGATCCCTAGGGCATAGACAGAATGCAGCTAAGCTCTTTGGTAAGGCATAACACCTGTGACCTTTGCTCCAGTTCCCAATAAGTTCCTCATTTCCATCTGACACCTTGTCAGCCTGGACTTCACTGTTCATATCACTATCAGCATTTTGGTCACAACCATTTAACCAGTCTCTAAGAAGTTCTAAACTTTTCCTCATCTTCCTCTCTTCTTCTGAGCCATGTGAATTCTTCCAATTTCTGCCCATTACCCAGGTTCCAAAGGTGCTTCCACACTTTCAGGAATCTTTATAGCAATGCCCCTCTCCTTGGTATCAATTTTCTGTATTAGGCTATTTGTTGCATTGCTATAAAGAAATATCTGAGACTGGGTAATTTATAAAGAAAGAAGTTTAATTGGCTTATGGTTTTCCAGCCTGTACAAGCATAGCACCAACATCTGCTTGGCTTCTGGGAAGGCCTTAGCGAGCTTTTACTTATGGCAGAAGGGGAAGTGGGAGCAGGCATGTAACATAGCAAAAGCAAGAGAGAGAGTGGGGAGGGGAGAGGTGCCACACTTTAGAATAACCAGATCTTGTGAGAATTCATTCCCTATCACAAGGACAGCACCAAGCCATGAGGGAACAGCTCCCAAGACCCAAACACCTACCACCAGGCCCCACCGCCAACAGTGGAGATTACAATTCAACATGAGATTTGCACAGGGACAGATATCCAAACTATATCAGTCCCTTATAATCCTTTTTTATTTCTGATGCATCTGTTGTGATGTCTCCACTTTTATTTCTGATTTGATTTATTATTTGCATCTTTTCTTTTTTTCATAGTCTAGCTAGGGCTTTGTCAATTGTGTTTTGTTTTTCAAATGACCAACTCTTGGTTTGATTAATTTTTTTCTATGTTTTTTATTCCCTATTTATTTTTATTCTGATCTTTTGCAAAAATAAATTAATGGGAGTATGTAAAACTAAAAAGATTCTACACAGCAAAGGAAACAATTAACAAAGGAAAAGACAACCTACAGACTGGGAAAAAATATTTGCAAACCACATATCTAATAAGTGGTTAATATCCAAAATTTATAAAAACTCTTACAACTTAACTGCAAAAAACCAAATAACTCAATTTTTAAAATGGCCAGAGGATCTGAACAGATATCTCTCCAAAGATGACATAAAAATGGCCAACGGATATGAAAAGGTGCTCAGGGTCACTAATCATTAGGAAAATGCAAATTAAAACCTATGAAATATCACCTCACACCCCTAAGAATGTCTGTTATCAAAAAGAAGAAATAACAAATGTTGGTGTGGAGAAAAGAGAACCCTAATATATACTGCTGGGGGACAGTAGACTGGTACAGCCACTATGGAAAACAATATAGAGGTTCCTAAAGAAATTAAAAGTATAACTACCAATGACCCAGCAATCCCTCTTCTGGGTATATACCCAAAGGAGAAGAAAATACCACCCCATAAAGATATCTCCCATGTTCATTCCAACATTGTTCACAATAGCCAAGATATGGAAACAATCTAAATGTCTATCAATGGAGAAGTGGATAAAGAAAGTGTGGCATATATATACAATGGAATATTATTCAGCCTTATAAAAGGATATCCTGTCATTTGCCATAACATGGATAGACCTGGAGGACATTACGCTAAGTGAAAAATAGCCAGACATAGGAATAAAAATATTGCATGACCTCAATTATATATGGAATATTTAAAAAAAAAAAGAGCTCAAGTACACAGAGATAGAGAATGAAACAACGGTTACCTCAGGCAGGGTTGGTAGGGGAGAGGAAATGAGGGAATGTAGGTCAAAGGATACAAAACAGTAGATACGTAGGATGGACAAGTCTAGAGATCTAATGTCAATATGAGGACTAAAATTAATAAAATTATATTGTATTGGGAATTTTTGTTAAATAAGTAGATTTTAGCTGTTCTTGTCATAAAAAAGTAACTATGTGAGGTCATAGATATATTAATCTGCTTCACTATAGTAACCATTTTATTATCTATATGTATCCCAAAACATCATGTTGTAAACCTCAAATATACACAATAAAATTTAAAAATCAAAAATAAAATATTTTTTAAAAGAATAAAGGAAAACATTTGAAGTAGTCATTTTGGGAGGAAAATAAACATACTGGGGAAACACGGTAAGATTGCTGGGCAGTGCTGAGTGCCATTCTGAATCAAGATTATCATCTTAAATGAGAGACTTGGTATATTTGGATGCTTTTCTCCATAAATATTCTCTTGTTTGGGTACAGCCATGGAGTAGGTATACGACTGAGTTTAACCATTAGGTCTTTGCCAAACAAAGGGAAAGGGGTGGAAAAAGTCAAAGGTATTTGCGAGATAATGGTTATGATGATGGGCCATGAAATTAACTGTGAGGAGGTAGGTGAGGAGTGAGTATATGAGGTTACAAAAGAAGTGAGTAATTATTATCATGGGGGTAGAGTCGAAGTGAAGGGCACCATGAAGTGGAAGATTAGCTGGTAAGTATGGTGGGAGGGCATTGAGGGGGTGATTAGAGAGTAGGAGGCTTGAAATCAATTTCAGAGGTCATGTAGTCATTGGCACTGATGAGGTCAATTGATATGATCATGGGAATGGGCAACTCAGGTAGGGTAAAAGAAATGATGGCTGAATGCGAGGCAGTTCAAAACCAGAGACAGCAAGAATACAGAAGTTAAGAATGATGACAAGAGTACAAGGTGGAAGAAAGAGTGGGCTAGTCACTGAAGTAATCAGTGTATGAAGAGAATGACCAGGGTTTGGTAGATGTCAGCAAAAGAAACACCTGGATTTTGTGGGGGTGACTGAGGTGACTAGGGATGTTAGGCATGCTGGAATCAGTCCTGACAATCTCATGACAGAAGGTGGGAAACTTATTGTGGAGCCTAGGGCTGCTGGTTTCTCCAGCATCTGGTGTTTTAAGATCAGCATTTGAGTCCAAACTCTACCACACTAACTGTGTGAGCTTGTGAAAGGCTACGAAAAACCTGCTTATTCTCATCTGTAAAATGAAGACAAATGTTCAATGAATTGCCTAGTTCATAAGGAGCATTTGAAATAATGAATGCAAAAGCACTTTGCAAGCTCTAAAGGGCTATAGAAATGTTAGTTAAAATTAAAAATTTATGTCTTGCATTGTCATGACCAGCCTTTAAACCAGAGCTAGAAGAATTACCTATTCATCTCTTTATCGGCCACAATACGTAACACATATCCTATGATTTAGAGATTACAAGCTTGAATAACACTGAACAATAAAAGCTTATAAAATGAATGAGTCTGTGACTAATGTCTCCAATGTTATTATCAACATTACCATCATTACTGTTAAGCATTAATGCTTCAAAAATTGTGAAAAAAGGCCGGACACGGTGGCTCACACCTGTAATCCCAGCACTTTGGGAGGCCAAGGTGGGCCTGTAATGCCAGCACTTTGGGATCACCTGAGGTCAGGAATTCGAGACCAGCCTGGCCAACATGGTGAAATCCCATCTCTACCAATATTACAAAAATTAGCCAGGCGTGGTGGCAGGCACCTGTAATCCCAGCTACTCGGGAGGCTGAGGCAGGAGAATCGCTTGAACCTGGGAGGCAGAGGATGCAGTGAGCTGAGATCACACCAGTGCAGAGACTTCATCTCCAAAAAAAAAAAATACACATCCTGGTTTTTCTTTTTACCAAATCCATTGAAATGAAGAAAAAGTAATATTTCTTCAAGTTAAAGTCACACAAATATTTATACACTTTGACCTAATAATCTCATTCCCATAACATTTTTATCATTTAATCAAGCACAACATATATTTACTCTTTTCTCTGTTCTTCAGAGAAAAGTGCAGAAACCATAAGTACACATATAAATTTTTAGAGTGAACACACACATAATAGCCCAACTCCTAAAAATTTGATGTCATAAAATATTCCCCTAAAATGTAAAAGCCTAATATCTAAAGATGAGGTATTCACACTATGTTATAGTGCAAAGGAGCAAAAAAAAGCTCATTGTTTGGTGAAGGGAAAATGGAGTAAATATTGGCACATAAATTCAGTGGAACAATATGGAGCCATTAAAAACGACAACCGTGAAGAACCGCAAAACAAAATCCACCAACTTGAATGCCCTTGAGTTAAGTGGGTAGAAGAACTATGAGAAGGAGCCTGGTATAAGATGATAAAAGATAGGGGAGGTAGGTCAAAGACGGTCAGAAAATGCAGAGTACAGAGTGCTTGCAGGCCCCACATAAAGACATTCACATTAAAACATTTAAAAATAATAAAGGAAGATAAAACATGGTATTGAAAAACAAAACATGTTATGGACCAAATGTTGCCCATAGGTCTTTAGTTTGTGACCCTTTCTGGAGATAGAGGAAAATAGTCAACGGTGAAATAAACATACTAGATATGGCAATATGATTATAACATAAAGATTATGTTGACATATGGACAATCACTGGAAGTGTGGAAAAAATGAATGTCGGCCTTGGTGGAAACTTGGCCAAATAACTTTACCCCTTTTAAGCCTCAGTTTCTTCATCTGTAAAATAGGGATTTAAAAAATTGCCTCCTTCGTACAGCTGTTGTAAAGGTTAAGTGTGATTGAAAGGGCAAAGTGAGTAGAAAAGGACCTGGCAAGTGGCAAACAAAACTATTCTCCCCCTCATTTTCCTCCTCCTCCTCCTCATTATTATTTTGTTATTATTAACTATTTCTGCATTTTATATCCCACCATCCTGTTTCCCTTTGTTCTACTAACTCCAGCCACAATAGCTTTCTTGTTATTTTTCCAATATGTTTTAGCCTTAGGGCCAAAATTCTTTTGCCCCTAGTATTTGTCTTACTTCCTGAGAGCTTTTGCTCAAATGACACTTCCTCAGAAGGATTTTCCTGTCCGCCTCACCCTGCTTTTTCTTCATTGCACTTAGAACCATCTGATATCTTATGTGTATATGTGTATATATACATACGTTTATATAAACACATCTGTGTGTATATCTGTGTATTATATATATATACACACACAAGGGCAGGACTTTGCCTAACTTGTTTACTGCTATATTCCCAGTTCCTTGAAGGGTACCTGGCACATAATAGACATTGAGGCATTATTTGTTGAATACTGTTAAATGTTTAGGGTGGAGATATTGTGCCTTTTCTTCCCCCTTTTTTTCTAAATCCCAGAATGACAATGTTTGTAAAATCAATGATTTAAAAGCACATTTTCCTGCAGGTGATCTTAATGTGTAACTCTTTGTAATCTTTTGTAACTTTTTTGACAGATCAGCCATGCAGAAGCTGGGGACAGAAGTATTTGAAGAGGTCTATAATTACCTCAAGAGAGCAAGGCATCAGAATGCTAGCGAAGCAGAGATCCGCGAGTGTTTGGAAAAAGTGGTGCCTCAAGCCAGCGACTGTTTTGAAGTGGACCAGCTCCTGTACTTTGAAGAGCAGTTGCTGATCACGATGGGAAAAGAACCTACTCTCCAGAACCATCTCTAGGCAACTATCAAAAAGAAGCAGAAGTTCAAGTGGACAAATTTATGTGAAAATTCATTTAACATATAAGCTGAACTCTATTATGGGGAATGGATACAAAAGCAGAGCTCCCATCTTGACTTTCAATTCCTCATCAGAAGTACTGGCTTCTTTAGAGAGTAGTAAGCATGGCTGCCTATGCTTGGAGTCATAAGTGTTATTTGGACTATACCCTGAGATAAGCTTATAGATCAAGTTTGGCTCCCTTGAAAAGCATTTCTCTCATGTGCGCCCTCAGGGCTTCCAGCAGGATTGAGTCACCCTGACGATGACCGGGGAGAAGCCGTGTGCTCTTCATTATTTTCAGCTGGAGGACAGAGCTCAGTGCCTGACTGCCTAGGGTCTCATGGACTGTAGGCAGCCTGCCAGTGAAGGTCACTGGACTCTAGCCTACAACATGCTGAGCTACAGCCCAGAAGCCAGACATGCCTGTCTTAGCTGACCTGTTTTTGGTCCACTTTTGCCCTTCCATGACTAATAAGGAAGATATGTGTGTATTTCATACACACACAAGGACCTGGATTAAAAATCCAAAAAGTGATTCTCTTCTATGATTTATTTCAAACTCATCCATAGATAATTCAAGATTTGTATTCAAAATAAACATAGTTTTCACAGTTACAAAATAAATCACCTATTTTATCTTTTCCTTATGTAAAACTTTCTTATTGAATGTAACATATCCATCCTTTGATAATTATTACTTAGAGCCAGTAATATTTGGTTAATTTGGTGCCTGTTGGGTACTAGTACTGTGCTTAGTAGTTTAAGGGCCTTCATTGGATCTTTTCACTAACTTGAGAGAGATAGAGTGAAAGAGAGAGAAAGAGAGAGAGAGAGACAACAGAGAAAGAGAGATGCTCAGGTTAGGTAATTTGCTTAGTCACTCAGCTGCAAGAAGCAGAGTTGGCATTTGAAACTAGGTCTGTCGCATTCCAGAATCCATACTCTTAACCAGTGTCTATCAGAATTTTCAACCATGGAACTATATTAGATTTGCTTGTGAAGCTTTTTAAACATAGACACATTTAAATATACTGTTAATGAAAAAATTATTGACACTTATTGAAATGGCAAAAAGACTGTAATCAGGACTATTTTGATAGGTATCAACAATATTGCAATATGGGAGAGGCATTGGGCTCAACTCTGAAGTTTCTTTGCTGAAGCAAAGAAAACTAGAGATTAATAGCCAATTAGCAGGATACGGGCCTTGGTGGATGGAAAATTTCTAAAAGGAGTATTCAAAGGTTGGGGGTTGTATTCATCTGTTTAGTGTTGCCATAAAAGAATACCAGAAGCTGAGTAATTTATAAAGAAAAGAAGTTTATGTAGCTCACGGTTTTGTAGGCTGAGAAGTTCAACGGCATGGCCCTGGCTTCTGGCAAAAGCTGTTGTGTTCCATCACAACACGGCAATGAAGGGGAAGTGGACAAGTAGGAAGACAGAGAAACCTGAGGGGTGTCCTGGCATTATAACACCCACCCTTTGGGGAAATAATCCATTCCTTCAAGAAACAATCCAGCCTAGAGAGCAAGAACTCCAGAGCAGTAGCAAGCTATTTTTCAGGGTGCTCCCCCATAATCCAAACATTTTCCACTAGGCCCCACCTCCCAACATCACCACTTTGGGGATCAAATTTCAACATAAGTTTTGGAGCAGGCAAATATTCACACCATAGCAGGGAGATTCCTGCTAAACTGACTTAAGATTCCCACTGGAGGAAGGCCAGGGTCATCAGAGATTGAGGGCAGGTGATGAGGAATTTGATCAGATACTGAGGGTGATCAGCTATCAAATGTGGGGTATTCTCAATAAACTGACTTTACCAGAATTCTTGCTAAAACTGGGTTTGGCAGGCTGAAGACAGAGCCAAGAATGAGGCCTCATAAAAAAGAGGGCTCAAAAGAGCCTGTCTAAAGTTTGGTCGAGGAGATAATCTTTGTCAATACCAAGACCCACCCCACTCCCTTCTCTGGGAAGACAAGGGGCTAAAACATATCTATTGTTTCAGAACTGTCTGGGTGAATTTGATGCCCACAGTACTGTTATTCACTTTTCAGCCTCCTGCTGATGACTGAGGAAACTAAGAGAGTTTCTTTATCTTACTAACTTGTTTTCAGTGGTGCTGTGCTTCCTGCATGATGCACTCTTTTAGACCAGTGATTCCCACATTTGAGCATGCATTCGAATCACCTGGAGTGCTTGTTGAAGCATAGATTGGTGGATTCCATCACCAGCATTTCTGATTCAAGAGATCACGGTTTCTAACATGTTTCCAGGTGGTGCCAGTGCCACTGGTACCACACAGAACAATTGTTCAAGACCTTTCTTTCTGTTGTCTCTCTTCTCCCCCTCCCTCTTTTTGGAACAGTGTTTTGGCTGCTCTTAATTGGGGGCTTAATTAATCTCACATCTTGGAAGGTGGTATGAGGACTTCCAAGAAGGGTCCAAAGACTTCAAATGCTTCACAGTGAATATAAGCAAGTAGTGACTGGGGTGGAGTGGTAGGTGAGTCAGTGTGAATAACTTGAGAGAACTTAATGGGCTTATTTTAAGGACAAAGGGGCATGGCCACTGTGCCCTAACACTCTATCCTGTGGCTTCACTTCTATCCCTGCCCAGCAACCAAAGGAACCACCCAGGTGAACCCACAATTTCTCTAGTGCTCAAGGGTTATGAACATCACTCTTCTGAGTTCCCACAACTCCCTTACACTATAGAGAGGTTTTGGGGGCTGCACAAAACTTCATTCTGCCTCTTCCCAAAGCTAATGATGCCCATTCTCACCCTCTCTCCCTGCATACTGGAGAATTATTCCTGGCTGGGAGGCTGGGGGTCAGGAGCATGTCTGTGCTCTCACAGCCCCTGTGTCTGCAGCAGGAAAAGCAGACCTCAAATACTGCTTCTGGAGGTGGGATCTGAGACTTTTCAGAATTTGGAACTTGAGTGTGTTTCCCAGGTCAAAATCTACGACCCGTGGTTGTTGCCATGGTAGAACACTGAAAATCAGGTTTGCCCTGGGAAACCTAGGATGATGGGGGCATGTGACCACACTGCTGCTGACAGCAGGCATGCAAATTGCCATCACATTAACAGGGAAGAGACCTCACCCCAGAAAATGCTCCCCAGAGCTCACATGCCCTTTTGTGACCAACCAGATTGCAAATATGACTGGAAGAGCGGGGACCATAATATTACCCCAGTTAATAAAAATTGCCCAATCTTCTTGTCGATGGTTTTTATAACATTAGAACAGAACAAAACTTGTGTGCTGGGTCCTAAGAGGAAATAGCTAGATTTTCAAATAGTTTCTTTCACAAACAGATTCACCTTCCTATCTTGCATTTCAGAACATGGTTCTTAGAAGACAGGTGCAGACTAAAAACAGCTTACTCTCCAGGGATTTGTGTTATGCACTTCATCAGGCTCAAAAGAAAAAAGAGCTAGGAAGAAATATCATTTTGAATCATAGCTCCATGCCTCTAAAGAGAAGCTCACTCAAGTTTACTTTCATTTGGTTCACTGGGGTGGGAGTGGGGAAGAAGATTTAACATTACTTGAATGTTAAATCTTTTACTTATCACCACTGAGAAAATGCTTTCTCTTTCAGCTGTACTCAGTCTTAATTTTGAACCACTTCAAATTGTATTAGTAACGATCCAACTGCAAGATGGTGGGGGAAATTGACTAAGGAGTTAAACTAGGAAGTTTCTTGTTATGAAACAGTCACAGGTATGAGCAAATAAAGGGATCCTGCTAGCTTGCTGCTTTGTAAAAAAAAATATATATATACATATATATTTCAAAAATGCCAGTTGACCTTTCTGCTTTCTATTTATACAGAGGAAATGCCACCAGCTATTTTGGGTGATGCAGAGATAAAGCACACAAAGGAGAGTGCTGGAAGTTAATTATTTAATGTCTTTGGGGCTGAAGTTGGAGCAAAGCCCTAGGTATATTTTAAGAGTCCAGCCATCACAGTGGGCTCAGAGTAAAGGAGGCTGACAAATTAAGCAGTAGCTCAACAGGGGGAAATATACCACATTCCTCTTTCAAGATGATGGGTTCACTAGCTAGTGTATCAGAAGGGAATGGGGCCAGGCCACTAAGGTGATAAACAGAAACAGGCAAAGAGAAGGAGAAAGTGTGGGGCTGGGGGAAGGAGAGAGGCACGGGTGGACACAGAGCAAAACAAATGTTTTAAAGTACTTCTGCCACACCTGTGTAAGGAAAAAAATTGAACTTGATAGCAGATGACTTGGATTCCAGGCCTACTCTTACCATTTACTGTGTGATCTAAAGCAACTAAGTGATTTCCCCTGAATCTGTTTCCTGCCTGTGTCTGAAGATTGCTGTAAAGAATAAATAATACAATAGGTTGAATCACATGAAATTGCCACCGTGATTCAGCCTAATGTGTAGAAGTGCTTTAAATGCCATAAAATGTTCTCAACTTTGAGGAAAAAAAATCATTAAATGTATTATCAAGCTACCTCATCTTCCACCATTGGAGATTCATCCCTGAAGACTCCCTTAGGTTTCTAGGCTTCTATAATTACCATCCAAATGCACCCTGAAAGATAAACACTTTTAGCCATTTTCAGCTAGCACTTGACCAGAAATTAGCTGAGAGCCAGCTAAGAGCTGACAGAACCATGAGGAAGACAGCTCTGGAAGGCAAGTCAGTGGACTCTCCAGACCAGCCTTGCTTTCTTTCAGTGCCTCAACTCACTTCATGAGTCTGCAACACCACAGTGTTCATCATTGCCAGAAATCTTAGGATGCTCAAGTTTTTTCCTTAACTTTAGAAGGAAGTTCAGAAATTTGGTTCAACAAATATACATTATAAAATAATACACAAATATTCACTAGGAGTACCACAGTTATTAACATTTATACAGAATTGAAAACTTGACACCAATAGGAATATTTTCTTTTTTATTTCATTTATTTGTTTATTTTTGAGACAGAGTCCCATTCTGTTGCCCAGGCTAAAGCGGAGTGGTGCGATCTCGGCTCACCACAACCTCCGCCTCCCGGCTTCAAGCGATTCACCTGCCTCAGCCTCCTGAGTAGCTGGGATTACAGGCAAGTGCCACCACACCTGGCTATTATTTTTTGTACTTTTAGTATAGCCAGGGTTTCACCATGTTGTCCAGGCTGGTCTTGAACTCCTGACCTCAGGTGATCCGTCTGCCTCGGCCTCCCAAAGTGCTGGGATTACACGCATGAGCCACTGCACCTGGCCCCAGCAGGAATATTTTCAAAGTAGATTTTTAGGTTTAGTTCAGGAGACAATCTTTCAACAGCTAGAAACATTCTTTTTCCTTCCCAAAATTTTGTGGCTTTTCCCACTTTGATAGTTTGAATTTTTAGTCCCAATTTACCCCTCCCTAAACCCCTGACTATTGCCTTATAACTTTGTAGTTCTCAATATTTCCCCACTCCTTGACTCTGAGTTTGGCCATGGAACTTGTTTTGGCTGAGGAATATACTAAGGGGCTGGAAACATGTCGGTGCAGTTGGATATGTTCTCTTGCATCTCCCTCATCACCAGCCAGCCTATCATAGGAGGATGACAGAGATGGAACAGAGCCACACCAGCCAACCCACAGAGTGACGCAAAGTCATCTCAGCCACTGCAGGCAAAGCAGAGCCGCTCCAGGGGACATAAAACTCCCAGGCAAGAGATACATATTTCTTGCTGCATGCTATTCAGGATTTGTGGTTGGTTGTTATGTGGCATTATTATGTCAATAAGCTAACCAACATGTCTTCCTTCTCCTGACATCACTCTTTATTCCTCCTCCAACACTTTTTTTTTTTTATCAAATCCTTGGGCTTGTAAAAAATTTTTTTGGCATTGATTTTTATAAATCTGGAGGAAGTTTGTCTCCAACTATATTATTCTGTGGCTTCTTAGACAAAATATGGATACCCTTTTTCAATATGGCCCAGGTGAGCCACAAACTCTGACTTTCCTGGCCTTCAGCATATTTCAAGGTAATGTGGGATGATAGCATGGAGCCTACCTGGACTATCCCTTCTAATTCTATTCTTTGGATTTCAGCTCAACGTGTGTTGAGCTCCCATTCTGTACTAGGCACTAAGTATAAGCACACAATTTTGAATGATAAGAATTCACCAGACAAAAGAGAGGAAAAGATCTTGCAGGCATGAGGAACACAAAGATGGAAGACACAGCCCTATAGGTTCTGGGAATCTGAAATCTTTTGGTGCTGGTGGAACATGAAATATGAGAGTGATAATGTCAGGTTTAGCGAGAAGGGGATAGTGGCCAGCCTCCAACATGACTTCCAGTGATTCTCACTTCTGGTATTCACGTCCTGTGTAGATCCTTCCCACACTGCCTCGGGGCGGCCTGTGTGACCAACAGAATAATGTAGAAGTGATGGTGTGTGACTTCTGAGACTAGGTCATAAAACACATGGATTTCATCTGTATCACCCACACTGGAGGACGCCAGCCACTGTGTTGTAAGAACATGTAGGCAACCCTATGGAGAGATCTATGGGATAAAAAATTGAGACATTTTGCCAACAGCCAGCACCACCTTGCCAGCTGTGTCAGTGAGATATGGGAAGCATATTCTCCAGCCCTGGTCAAGCCTACATTTGACTACAGATCTGGCTGACATCTGGACTAAAACCTCATGAGAAACTCTAAGCTAGAACCACCCCCTTTTAATTCCTGACCTACAGACACTGTGAAATAATGAATGTTTCTTTTGATGGTGTTAACACATTTTACAGTATGTTTCAGCAAAACATCACCAATACAGAAGGCAAAGCTCAGATACATGCTGTCACATTTGCTCTGCTGTGTCCTGTATTTAGGGGCAGCCACTGCAAAGTTATTGATGAACATGATCTTTAGCTGTATCATGGCACTGGGTGGAGAGCAGGTTTGAAAAGGGTGAGACTGGAAGCAGGACAGAAAGGCAGGAGGTTTGTCCAGGTGAGAAAAGATGAAGGCCTGACTTGCATCTGATGAAGTCAAGACATCCTGAGGGGAGATCATGAGAGAGAACTGAGGACTGACTGGATGGGTAGAGGAGTGATGGAGTGGTCTGTGAGGACTGGTAGTTTTACAGCACAGGTGACTGGGCAGGAGACAGGTCATTCACAGAGCTGGTGATACAGGAAGACATGCAGATTGGGCGGCTGGAAAAATACTGAGTTCATTCCTGGGTGTTTTGAGTTTGGGGTGCTTGTGGGGTATTCAATTAAACAGGTCTAGGTGGCCAGGCTCAGTGGCTCACGCCTGTAATTCCAGCACTTTGGGAGGCCGAGGTGGGTGGATCACGAGGTCAGGTGTTCGAAACCAACCTGGCCAACATGGTGAAACTCCATCTCTACTAAAATACAAAAACTAGCCAGGCATGGCAGCAGGCGCCTGAAATTCCGGCTACTGGGGAGGGCAAGGCAGGAGAATTGCTTGAACCTGGGAGATGGAGAATTGCTTGAACCTGGGAGATGGAGAATTGCTTGAACCTAGGAGATGGAGAATTGCTTGAACCTGGGAGATGGAGAATTGCTTGAACCTGGGAGATGGAGTGCATCACACCATGCACTCCAGCCTGAGTGACAGAGTGAGACTCAGTCTCAAAATATAAATAAATAAATAAATAAATAAATAAATAAATAAATAAATAAGGTCTAGGCACAGAGCTTCAGGTGTCTGAAAAATTCTGTCCTGATAGTGTGAAATGGATCTACTTAATGAACTCCGGATAACAGAGCAGTGGATAGTTTTGATGCTATACCTGCAAATAACCAAAAACAGTGTTAGCTTCTAGAAAATGCACCTCCTTTAAGGCTCCTGAATGGGATTTTAGGTTATGTGAATGCTTAATAATAATAAGCAACAGCATCTAGCACTTTCAGGAAGTAATTGGGTAAAATTACAGCCTCTAGCTGATAGCTCTCTGCTGGTAGCATCTCCTCCCCACTCCCACCATGGTATAGTCTTCTAAATTAGTAGTTCTCAACCTTGGCTCTGCATTCAAAGCACCTGGAAAATTTCATGAGGATTAAGTGGAATGGTTTAAAAATAACTGTCAGATGGCAGATGTTTGCTGTCAGTTTCTTCCTGCCTAAAAAGTGAGACTACACTCTTACCTCTCTCCCTCTCCTGAACCAAAGGGGATCCTCTCATTGAAAGAGTTTTGTACAATGCAAAACTTTATTTAAATATATGTATCTCTAAAAGATAACTCTTTTAAGAAACATAGCCACAATACTATCACATCTCAATTATCCATAATTCCTGTATATAAAATATCCAATCAGTATTCTCCTGTCCCTCACTATTTGAATTTGTTTGTTCAAATTAGAATAAAGCCCAGGTGCTTCAATTGATATGTCTCCTCAATCTCTTTTAATGTATAGAGTCTACCACCATATTTCTTTTTCCCTTGTAATTCATTTACTACTGAAACCAGGTCATTTTTCTTGTAAACTTTCAGTCTAGGATTTACTGATTGCATCCTCATGTGTTTTAAAAACAAACTTTTAAAAAAGTTTTACATTTGCAGGCCAGGTGCAGTGGCTCACGCCTGTAATCCTAATATTTTAGGAAGTGCAGGTGGGAAGATAGCTCGAGGTCAGGAGTTGGAGACCAGCTTGGGCAATATACTGAGACCTCCTCTATATATTTTTTAAAGTTTTTTATATTTACAGGAAAAGCGTGGAGATAGTACCTAGAGTTCCCATTACTCCACCTAATTTACTCTGTAATTAACATCTTACATTATTATGGTACATTTCTTGCAATAATGAACCAATTTTGATACATTATCATTAGACAAAGTCTATACCTTATTCAGATTTATCTAATCCAGTTAGTCATGTCATGTGTCCTTAGGCTAGTCTTTGTTGTGAGAGTTTCTCAGACTTTCATTGTATTTCATGATTGCTATCAACTGAATATTTTTGTTCCCCCTAAATTCATATGTTGAAATCCTAACTCCCAATTTATTGGCATTTGGAAGTAGGGCCTTTGGGAGGTGATTAGGTCATGAGGGCAGGGGCCTCACAAATTAGATTAGTGACTTTATAAAAGAGGTGTGTACATATCTACAAATATTTCCCTATATAAACATATGTAGCTATATTAAGTTAAACATGAGTTAATACTGATGTCTCCAACTCGAATCCACTATTACATGGATCATTCTAGTCTCTTCCTGATATTTTAAAAAGGGGCACCTTTATATTTCTTATAACTGGTATTTAGGTTGAGATTCAACTTCAATTTTGTGCAAGAAAAATTAATAGGAGGTGATGTCTTCTTCCATCATGAAGTGCACAGTAACTGGTTGCCTTTTCATGATTTTAGCAAACATTGATGATCATTCCCTAGGATCCATTAATTCTTTAAAGTTTAAAAAAAATTGTAAAATTTTGATTGGCTCCTTCTTCTTTGATTAGCTAGAATACTTATAAAATTTCCTCTCATCAACTATTTAGTAGCCCTGAGGAAGAGCCCATATAAAAAAGGCAGGATGGGCTGGGCGCTGTGGCTCACACCTGTAATCCCAGCACTTTGGGAGGCCAAGGTGGACAGATCACATGAGGTCAGGAGTTCAAAACCAACCTGGCCAACATAGCGAAACCCTGTCTCTACTCAAAATACAAAAATTAGCTGGGCGTGATGGTGGGCACCTGTAAGCCCAGCTACTCAGGGAGGCTGAGGCATGAGAATCACTTGAAGCTGGGAGGCAGAGGTTGCAGTGAGCCGAGATTGCGCCACTGCACTCCAGCCTGGGTGACAGAGCAAGACTCCATCTCAAATAAATAAATAAATAAATAAAATTTAAAAGCATGATAAATGTTTAATTCTTTTCCTCATTATTTTAAAAATGAATTGGTTCCTTAGCATCCTCCCAGACTGACCACAGAGCTATTTTTGATTCCACGTACCGCCATGAACTTGAAGCAGCTTTTTAGGTACACTGCTCAGCCCTCTACCTCCAGCCTTGAGTCCTGGGCATTCTGCCTCAGGATAGTGAATGGGGGATGGTTGGCGGAGGTGGGGAGGTGAGGCAGAAGCAGAGAGGGATTTGAAAGGGATGGCAAAGTTGGGGGTTCTTATGGGCTTCCATTTTCTTCATCCAGAAAAAGCTCTGGTCTCCAAAGCATTAATTCCTGTATAGCTGTTGCCTTGGCTTTTATAGATTTTCATGTTGCCTTATAAATAGTTGAGTCCATCTTTAAAAGTCTCTTCAAGCAACCAGGAAAGAAAGAACAGCCTGAAGATCTGGAAAGGGCATGTTTAACCCTAAATCCTTAAAAGTAGCTAATCTAGGAGAGAAGGTTACCTTTGAAATGCTGGGGAGAGGGGTAGATCACCTCTTCTCCACCTTGGCTATTAGTTACCTGAAACATCTTTGAAAAGCCACATGTCCCTGTATTACCTCCACAGATTCTGATTCAGTTGCTCTGGCTGGAACCCGGAAATTGGCAGTTGCTATCCGCTTTTAGAGCAAGGTGAGTGTAACATGAAGCCAGGGCCATTTCCAAGTCCCCAGAATGATAGCAGGCCAACATGGATTGTGTCACACCTACAGCTTTATCACCTTGATCTGCCCATCTGATGTTAGTATTTGGCATCTCCACCCTGCAACTCAGAAGACTAAGCTAGGAAAAATGATGCCTAACAGTTTTCATCCCTGCTTGAAACACTGGGGCCTTGATGAGTGTGGCTCAGTTCCAACTCCTGGGTCTTTAACATAACACACAGCAGCGTGTCCCAACCCTCGACTCCAAGAATGGATACATTTATTTTCTGCCTTGCACTGTTCTAAGTGCTTTACATATCTCAACATCCCTAATAGGTTGGTATCATCTCCACTTAACAGATGAGCTGCTGGGATCTGAGAGAGTTAAGTGACTTGTTAAGGGCACAAACCTGTTTCTGGGTGGGTCCGGACTCTTTCCCACCATATGCCGTCACTTACAGGCTGTGAGTTTATGCCCAGCCCCCCTCAAGGAGCTGCCTCCTGCTTTCTATTGCATAATCAATATCGACACCTGGTGTAGGGGCGCTCTGCACGGTGGGGAAGGCCTGGCCTGGAGTGAGGGATCCTGCATCTCAGCATCAGGCCCTGAGTAGGCCTCTGCCCTTGTGGTAGGGTAACCCACCCTCCTTCATAGCTCAGAGGTCTGAGGGGGTTTGAGGGAAAGACTAGAAAGCCTAGGAGGCTTCTTCTATCTCTCACCCCTCCTCACTCCCAGTCCTGTGCCACAGGATTTCACTCACAGCTCCTTCCACCCCCACCCTTCCCCTGAAAATCTCACTGCCCTGTGACTTCTCCATGTGCCACTTCCTGTGCGTCAGATCCCCGCGATAAGCTGCCCACTGCCTGTGGCCGCCCCAATTCCTTAGAACTACACTTATCACTGCTCACCCTTCTCCTACTCTCCCCCTCTCAGAAAATGACACCACATCCAGGAAACTCGGAACCAACACTAGCCCAGCGCTCCCTCTTCCCCATTCACTCAGTTACCAAGTCCCCACAGTTTCACCACTCAAGACAGTTGTCAGACCATGGCGCCTCTCCATCCCCATTTCCCTAGGATAGGCCTTGGTGTCTGAGGCCAACCCTGCCTCATTTCCTCCTAACCCCCACCCAGGCCTTGTGCTTTGTGTACCACCACACCCAACCAAAGGTAGTTATTACTTCTTTGGCTCCCAGCACTCAAGTGAGCGCCCCAGCTCTCCCTTACCTGCTGGCACACTCCAGCTGACTCCAGATTCTGACGTAGGCGTTTATGTACTAGCCTTTCTCCAGGTTCAGGGCGCTGCCACACCTTCAGCCCCGCCCCGCCCCGCCGCAAGCCCAACCCAGAGGTTGCTTATGGTTTCCCTAAGGTTCCTGGGCTCTGGACATCAGTCCGGTCTGCAAGCCCCGCCCTGATTGGCTGCCTCCGGCACCGGTCGCTGCGCCCTGACCTAAGGCGCCCAGGTTCCTCCCCCTTATCCCTGCAGGGCTGGTGCCTTGCGGCACCGCCCACGCTCGGATTGGTCCGAGGTGAGATTCGCCCTTGTGCCCTCGTAGGCCTTCGGAACAGCGGAAGAGCAGTGTCGGGCCATGGCCAGGGCCCGCAGGCTGGAGCTGGCCGAGGCCCTGGCGCTGGGGCCAGGCTAGAGGCATGCCTGCTATGCGCTCCTGCACGCGCCGGACCCTGGAATTCTCTCTGGCCGCCTCCCTCTGCGCTACGCCATACTGGTGAGGAGGGCGCGCGCCCGGCCACTCTCCGCTCTGGCCTTGCACCTTCCTTGCGGCGCTACTCTCGGGTGTCCCTGCCAATCCCAGCTTCCTCCTCTCTCAGATGCAGATGCGCTTTGATGGGCGCCTGGGCTTCCCTGGCGGATTCGTGGACTCGCAAGACAGCAGCCTGGAGGACGGGCTGAACCGTGGTCTGCTGGAACTGCTGGGCGAGGCGGCGGCCGCCTTCCGCGTGGAGCGCCCTGACTACCGCAGCTCTCACGCCGGATCAAGGCCACGTGTTGTGGCCCACTTCTATGCCAAATCTCTGACGCTCGAGCAGCTGTTGGCTGTGGAGGCCAGCGCAACAGGGGCCAAGGACCACGGGCTGGAGGTGGGGCCAGTCTGGGACCCTGCCCCATATCTTATTCCTTTTCCTTCCATGTCTTCCTTTGCCTCAGCAACTCTTTTTGGATTGAGGTCCCCGTCTGTCAGAACTTGCCCTCTTCCCCATTTTCTTGGTGGAGTTGGGATCTTGGTCTTCTCTTATTGAATGGTACTGCCAACCTAGGCTTCCTGGGAAGATTTCCACCCACCTCGCCCTTTACTGGGCTCTGGAGAGATTTTTCTAGAACACACATATCTACATCTCTCTGCTGCTCTCTATTGATAATGTGAAAATGGCCAGGCATCTACCCTAGTCCCTTATTGTTGGGCCTCTGTTTCTCTTAGGAAGAAGATATGGCCCTAATACTTAAGGCCCTAATACTTAAGGCCAGGGAGACAGATTGTATATGGAGGTAGTTCTCAAATTTTGTCAAGTATCAGAATCATCTCTGAGGCTTATAAAAACAAAAATGACTAGATTCTACTCCCAGAACGCTGGTTGTGGGTGAGAAAGCCCCAGCTTCCACCACTCCCAAGTTCTGGGAGGGCAGGGGTTCAGAAATCTGAGATTGCTTTTTTCAAAAGTTCCCAAGTGATGCTGATAACGCTGGTCTAGGTTTCCCATTTTGAGAACCATTGTTGCAGGGCTAAGCATGAATTTTGGCGTTAGGAGCCACTAGAGGTGTAGGGGACAGAAGTCATAAGGATTAACATTGATGGAGCTGGATAGCATGTCTTGGGTCATTTGTCTGCAGAGGGTTGAGCCCACTGGGCCTCCTTTAGATAGGAGCCTTGGGCTTGTTTCTGCTGGAGTATTAAGAGTTGTGGCATCTGCTCTAGAAAGATCTGCTAAAGAGAGGATGGAGGTAGTGACATGAGCTACCTGGAGTCCCAGTGTCTCCTGTCTCCTTCCTTTTACAGGTGCTGGGCCTGGTGTGAGTGCCCCTGTACCCTGCATGATGGTGTGGGAGGCCTGCCCATCTTTCTGGAGAATTGCTTTATTGGTGCTGCCTGGGAGCAGTTACTGGATACCCTCCAGGACTTGGGAGTGGTGGAAGCTGGTGCTTTCTCAGGACTTCAGATCCCAGTTCGTCTGAGGCAACCCTCTGTGGACTCAGGGAACCTGAGCTGAGGACTTTGGTACAAGGAAGGGAATGTTTTCTCTTCCGGACCTAAAGACGATACCAAATTAAAAGAAGACATGTATATCATATGTTTTGAGCAGAGGACCCTCCAATTCATGGGATCAGGGGCAAAAATCCACAGCTCATCCCAGGGGCCCTGGCAGGTTCTCAGAGCCTACCTCTTCCTTGTATATTTGCATACAGCCTGGTAACCCCCAGGCATGCATATGTACAATGTGACCACACACAGCCTGACATCTTTCACCTGTCAAGTCCAATTTAACCAGGAATTGGCATTTGTTACCATACCCTGCCTCTTGCTTTGCAGAGAGCTTCTACAGCAAGGCTGAGTCCTTCCCACAGTCCTCCATGCCTGCTCTTTAGGGTCTACCCCAGCCCATGTTTTTTGGGAAGGATAGAGAAGCAGAGGACCCTCTTTGCTTTCCTGAAAGTAGCCATGCCCTTGCTGGAGGGTTCACCACAGCAATTGGTGGGAAAGGGTCTTAACCAATCTCCAACACTTTTCTTCTCCTGAAACTGAGAAGGGGTAAGGAAGTAGCTAGGTCCCCTTGGACGGAGCATGGACATGAGACCTGTGAGTACTGGTGTCTCTCCTTCAGAGCTTTCATCTTTGGTTCGCTGTAGACTCTGGGACTATCAGAAGAGAACTGACCCATACCTGTCTAGCCCTGCCCTTCCAAAAAAAGAGCCTCCCATTAAAGAGGAGTTAGAGCTGGGCCTTGAGGCTCTTCACTTCTTTCAACAGATATTTAATATGTACCTACTAAATGCCAGGTACTATAAAAGGTATAGAGAGCCATCCTTGCTCTCCAAGACTCCAGGGAAGGGATGGGCAAACATTTTCTTAAAAGCCAGATAGCAAATACTTTAAGCTTTGTAAACTACATAGTTTTTTAAAAAATATTTTCTAACATTGACTAATAAAAATTGCCTATGTTTACTGTGTACAAAATGATGCTTTCAAATATGTATACATTGTGGCGTGGCTAAATTGAGCTAATTAACATATGCATTACCTCACATATTTATCATCTTTCATGGTAAGAACACAAAATTTACTCTTAGCAATTTTCACAAATTAATGCAGTTTATTAACTATAGTCACCATTTGTGCAACAGATCTTTTGAACTTATTTCTCCTAACTGAAGTTTTATATTCTTCGATCAATATCTTCTCAATTACTGTTCCCTACCCCCAACCCCTAGTAACCATTATTTTACTCTCTGTTTCTATGTGTTTAACTTTTTTAGATGCCATATATAAGTGAAATCATGTGGTATTTTCACCTGGCTTATTTCATTTAACATGTCATCTAGGTTAATCCATGTTGTCACAAATGACAGAATTTTCTTCTATTTTAAGGCCAAATAGTATTCCATTGTGTATATATACCACATTTTCTTTATCTGTTTATCTGTTGATGGACACTTAGGTTGATTCCACATCTTGGCTATTGTGAATAGTGTTGCAGTGAACATGGGAGTGCAGCTATCTCTCCAGATCCTAATTTCAATTACTTTGAATAAATACCCTGTAATGGGATTCCTGGACCATATAGTAGTTCTTTATTTTTAAATATCTCCATGCTGTTTTCCATGATGACCATACTAATGTACATTTCCACCAATATTGTGTAAGCATTCCCTTTTCATATTTTCTCTAATACTTACCTTTCATCTTTTTAATCATAGCCATTCTAACAGATATGGGGTGATATTCCATAGTGGTTTTGATTTTCATTTCCCTAATAATTAGTGATGTTGAGCATTTTTTCATACACCTATTTGCCTTTCTTTGAGAAATGTCTATTCAGGTCATCTGCCTCATTTTTAATTGGGTTATGTGTTTTCTTGCTATTGAGTTGTTCATGTTCCTTATATATTTTGGCTATTAACCTCTCATCAGTTGTGTGATTTGAAGTTATTTTTTCCCATTCTATAGATTGTCCCTTTACTGTGTTGACTGTTTCCTGTGCTGTGCAGAAAGTTTTAGTTTGACATAATCCCATTTGTCTATTCTTGTTGTTGTTGCCTGTGCTTTTGAAGTCTTATCCAAAAAAATCATTGTCCAGACCAATGTCATGGAGCTTTTCCCCTGTTTTCTGTAGCTTTACAGTTTCAGGTCTTGCATTTAAGTCTTTAATCTATTTTGAGTTTATTTTTTATATGGTATGAGATAAGGTTCTAATTTTATTCTTCTGCACAGAAATATGCAGTTGTCCCAACACCATTTATTGAAGGGATTATCTTTTCCTCATTGTGTATTCTTACCCTCTGTGGAAAATCAATTGACCATAAATGTGTGGATTTATTTCCAAGATCTCTATTCTGTTCCATTGGTCTGTGTGTCTGTTTTTATGACAGTACCATGCCGTTTTGGTTACTATAGCTTTATGATATATTGTGAAGTCAAGCAATGTGATACCTCTAGCTTTGTTGTTTTGGTTAAGATTTTTTGGCTAGTCAAGGTTTTTTTGTAGTTTCATATGAATCTTTGAATTGCTTTTCTATTTCTTTGAAAAAAGTCATTGGAATTTTGATAGGGATTGCATTGAATCTGCAGATTGCTTTGAGTAATATGGACATTTTAACAACATAAATTCTTCCAGTTCATTAACAAGGGATTTGTTTTCATTTATTTGTTGGGCCATTTATTTGTGTCTTCTTCAATTCCTTTTTTTTTTTTTGAGACAGAGTCTCACTTTGTCGCCCAGGATTGAGTGCAGTGGCACCATCTTGGCTCACTGTAACCTCCTCCCAGGTTCAAGCAAGTCTCCTGCCTCAGCTTCCTGAGTAGCTGGAACTACAGGCATGCACCATCATGCCCAACTAATTTTTGTATTTTTACTAGAGATGGGGTTTTGCCATGTTGGCCAGGCTGGTCTCCAACTTCTGACCTCAGGTGATCCACCCACCTTGGCCTCCCAGAGTGCTGGGATTATAGGCATGAGCCACCCCACCTGGCTTTCAAGGTCTTGGAAGACCTACCAAGTCTGGGTAGGACTTCCAGTACTGTGTTGCATCCTTCTCTTATTTATAATCTTAGAGGAAAAGCTTTCAACTTTTTACCATTGAGTATGATGTCAGCTGTGTGTGGGTCATATATGGCCTTTATTATGCTGAGGTACATTTCTTCTATACCTAATGTGTTGAGAGTTTTTATCATGAAAGGATGTTAAATTTTATCAGATGTATCTATTGGGATGATTACATGTTTTTTATCCATTCTGTTAATAGGATGAATCACATTGATTTGCATTTGTTGACAAGGTCTATCCTTGCATCCCAGGAATAAATCCCATTTGATCAGGGTGACTGATCCTTTTCGTGTGCTGTTGAATTCAGTTTGCTAGCATTTTTTGTTTGAGATTTTTGCATCTGTGTTCATCAGGCATATTGACCTATAGTTTCCTTTTCCTGTAGTGTCTTTGGCTTTAGCATCAGGGTAATGCTGGCCTCATAAAATGAATTTGGAAGTATTTACTCTTCTTCAGTTTTTTGAAGAATTTGAGAGGAATTGTTCTTTAAATTTTTGGTAGAATTCAGCAATGAAACCATCAGGTCCTAGGCTTTTCTTTTATGGGAAAGCATTTCTTATTAATGCATCTACGTGTTATTGGTCTGATTAGATTTTATTTTTCTTCATGATTCCGTATTGGTAGAATTATGTGTGTCTAGGAATTTATCTGTTTCTTCTAGGTTATTCAATTTGTTGGCATATACTTGTTTACAGTAGCCTCTGGTGGTCTTTTGCATTTCTGTAGTATCAGTTCTGATGTTTCCTCTTTATTTTATTTGAATCATCTCTTTTTTCTTAGTCTTGATAAAGGTTTGTGAATTTTGTTTATCTTTTCAAAAAGCCAACTTCTTAGTCTCATTGACCTATTGTTTTTCTAGTCTCTATTTCATTCATTTCTACTCTGATCTTTATTATTTTCTTTTTCTAACTTTAGGCTTAGTTTGTTCTTTAGGCTTAGTTTGTTCTTAGTTTGTTCTAGTTCCTTGAGGTGTACTCTTAGGTTATTTATTTAGGTCATTTTTCTTTTCAATGTTAGTGTTTAATCCCATAAACTTCCCTCTTAGACCTGATTTTGCTGCATCACATAGGTTTTGGTATGTTGTGTCCCCATTTTTATTTATCTTAAGGTAATTTTTAATTTCCCTTTTAATATCTTCTTTGACCCATTGATTGTTCAGGAGCATGTTGTTTCATTTCCATGTATTTGTGAATTTTCTGAAATTCCTCCTGTTATTGATTTCCAGTTTTATGCCATTGTGGTTGGAAAATATACTTGATATGATTTTAATATCACTAAATTTGTTAAGTCTGATGTTTTATTTACTTTTTTTCTGTATGATTTGTCCATTGCTGAAAGTGGGGTATTAAAGTCTTCTACTATTATTGTATTACAGTCTGTCTCTCTCTTGAGATTTATTCATATTTGCTTTATATATTTAGGTGCTCTGATGTTGGGTGCATACGTATTTATAATTGTTATATCCTTTTAATGAATTGACCTCTTTCTGGTTATATAAAGATCTTCTTTTGTCTCTTTTCAGTTTTTGACTTTAAGTCTATTTGAAGTAATTATATCTACATATAGATATGTAGATTTCCCTTAATCTCTTTTAGTTTCCACTTGCATGGAATATTTTTTTAGACTCCATTTCTTGATGGGGGCGATGAGGAATAGGGCAGAGGACTAGCAAATAACTGGTAGTCAACTTTAACCTACTAAAGTATGGTCTATAAATGGAAAAGGCCATGTGGGCACACCAGAGTAAGAGGAGATCAAGGTGGAGATGTAGGTGGGAGTCTGATGAGATAGGACCTCACAGGCCATGTGAGGGGCTTGGAGTATGCTTTGGGGAAGTCACTCCTGATGTTGTGTGGAACACGGACTGGAAGGGCTAGTAGAGGAAGGAGGAGACAGAGGGAGCTGCCACATAGCTACATGGCAGATGGTGGTGATCTGGAGCAGGGAGGGGCAGTGGAGATGGGCAGAAAGGATGTGATTGCGTGAGATATTGGTGGTGGCATTGACAAGACCTACTGATGGACTGGTTGTGGGAGGAAGGGAGTAAGGAAGAAAGAAGATTCAAAGATGACTTTTATGTTTGTGTCTTAAGGCGTTGATATTGAGGATGTAGGGAAAGCCTGGTGGGTGGGGGAATAAGCTTTTGAAAGAGACAGGATCAAGGAAGACATTCTGGGCAGGTTAAGACAAATTTGTGATTTGTCTGCATAAAGGTGATAGAAAAACTTAGACTGGGTGAGGTGATCCATAAAGAGAGAAAAAGAGTGCTCAGGACAAGGCCCTGAGGAAGCCCAACCCCCAGAGTTTGGGCAGAGGGACAGGGCATGTAAAAGGAGAAGAGGAGGAGAGAAAGCTGCTTTTAGAAAGTAGACTATGCAGAGTGCTTGTGAGGGTTTAGGTAGAACGGAGGCAGAACTGTACACTGAATTCAGTAATATGAGGGTTTGATGACCGTGATGGCAACAATTTCAAAAAGGGTGGCATAGAGGACAGACTCAATTGGTTGAGTGAATGGAAAATGAGGGAGCAGAAGGTAGGACAAGCTGGCCCTAAAGGGGCTTAGGGTGATCACTAGAGAGGGCTGTCGGGTCAGGGAGTGTTTAAGGTGGGAGACAGGGCATGTGGATGTTGATGGCAACAGTTAAGATGGCAAGAGGAAACAGATGGGAGGGTGATCAGGAGGAGGACCCCTGAAGAGGCATCGTCCATGAGAAAAAAGGAGGGATGGGACCTTTGTAGGAGGAGGGACAGGCCTGCAGCGTAACAGGGCTCAAGGAAAACAGGAATGAGGCACGCATAGAGGATTATGATGGCTAAATTGATGGGAAGATGATAGAATTTGAATCTCTTCTTGGTGAAATGAAGTGAGACTATCAGCTAGCTGTGGGTGGAGCATGTTCTCAGAAGGTATGAAGTAAACATTCACTTTGGTGTGAAAAAGCAAGTTAAGGAAACAGCAGAAGGGCAGAGCAAGGCTGAGCTCTGAGATGCTCAGTTTAGAGTAGGATGCTGGGCACTCAGGTGTGTGTGTGTTGAGTGGGGATCTGCATGCACCTGTCTTCCCCCAATTAGGATTCAGGATCTGGGATGGAGATGCTTACTGCAGTGTTGGGGTTTTGCCAGGGGAGTATAGGAGGTGAGAGAAAGATGGGGCAGTTCAGATGACATGCACAGGAGAAACTGTAGTGATGAAATGTGTGGTCTGAGGATTAATCTGACCAAGATGGAAATTGAAAACTGGAGGTGACTAGGGAGGGATTAGGAAATTAGAGGTCTTGACGAGGTAGAAACTCCAGCATGGTGAGGGGCTGGGTGGGGAGGTGTATTTGAGCCAGACAGGAGTGCTTTGGAAATTGAGAGGTGGAGCAATCTCAGGAAAAGGCAGTCAAGGGTATGACCTGGAGTTGCTGGCCAGAGCCAGAGGAAGAGGCTTAAGAGGTGAGATCTGGGGTTAGCCAGACTAGAGGGCAGATGTTGGGGAGGATAGTGTGACCTAGAAGCCAGTGTCCTTGGTGAACCACAAGGCCAGTGGCACCTGCCAGAGGGGAAAACAAGCATGACAGGATAGTGCCTTCCAGGCAAGGGCCTTTTGAGGAAGGGAGGGTAAGCAGTGGTCTGGAAACTAAATGCAGAGCAATGTGGTTCCCACTGGCAGCCCTTGGTCTTGGGAAAATGGGAGTGGCTGGTGGGGGAACAGCTGTACAGATTAGGTAGATAGATAGACTCCTGGTGGGGTAAATTACCTTCTTCTCCTTAATGTCACCATGACCCCTTTGTCAAACGTTATCTAGATTAAACCTCAGTATAGGCAGGCTGCAGGAAATGGACATTCCAGTGGCTCCCGGGGTCCCAGCCTGCAGCAGCTTCATCTGTGCTTTGTGCACTTGGCTCTCAGTTATCTCTGCAAGGGACCCTGAAGACTGGGAGATCAGAGTCACTCACCATTGATGACACTGCTAATAGATCCCTTGCCTGAGGATCCGGTCCTAGGCAATTCTGGACCCAGAACTCATTCTGGATGTAATCCAGGTCAACGTTAATACCATTTGGAAGGTTCCTTTACAGCACTCAGTCTTACTCTGCTTGAGTATCCCAGTGATCAGTCCCTTTTATTAAATTTGTTTTTTATTTAGGTGTCTGGAGATGGCTGAGGAGCCCATGACTTTCCTGTATGATCCCTTGAACGTAACTTCCAAGTCAGTAGATTTCTTCTCAGGTAGCTTTCATAAAAGTGTTTAATTGTTGTCAGTTTTGAGTTCATCTCACCACCTAGACCTTACAGTCCCTGGGTAGGCAGGCAGTGGGCGATAGAAGCTCACACTCTATACTTCTCCTCTTACTCATTCCCACCCTGCTGAGGTTTAAGGAAAGCCAAGGATCAGGACCCACTTAAGCTTTCCTTGGCCTTGTTAAGTCCAATCATCTGGGGCGGGAAGAAGAGAAATGCTCATTGCAATCTTTGACCCCCACTAACTGCTGTGGTGACTTTGAGCCAAGCCCTTGACCTCCATTTCCTTATCTGCAATGTTGCTGTGATTCGTGTGGTGAGGTTAGAGAGGCAGCACTTGGGATAAGCTTGAAGAGATGCATCCAGCCATATGAAAGTACAGGATGCCGTGTGTGCTTCCTGCTTCATAGCACGTTTTGTTTCTTGGAAGGTGAGTGGCCCGGCTGCCTCCCCGCAAACACATATTTCTGCCTTTCTCATTGTAATTAGCAAGATGTTCCCACTTCTCAGCATTGCACTTTTCCCTTGAGTCTGCTAGCTGCTGGTGCAGAATAAACACTTTGGCCCCACACTGTCCTGAGACAAAGTCACCCAGCATATGGCAAAGCTGCTACTTCTCGGCTGGAACATTTGAGGCAACAGTGACTTCCTCCTTCCCCAGTTACCTGGACGCTCAGAGCCGGCCAGTGAAACATACAAAGGGAGGGGAAGAGAAGAGGGAAGCCATGTTTCAGTTTCAGTTTATTTCACAGAAATGTTTTGAAATCCTTTATCTCTAATGGAAGCACAAACGGGTGTGGGGGAGTCAAAAATGGGGGAAAAATTTAGTCTGTAAGCAAATCATTGGATGGCATCAGAATTTGAGCCAGGGTAAAAATGCTGGACCTTGGCCCTTAGACAGAGAAGTGCAGAAGAACTCAGGTTGGGGGATTCTATTTAAAACATGTTCAGTTCTGAGGAAGAGGAGTATGGGCAGGGCAGAGGAAAAATGTAAAATGGGAAACTCCCTCATGGACTTAAGGCCCCAGCAGAGAGAAACCATGTGCTTTCTCCCTGCTTCCCCGCTTCCCTTCTGACTTGGGCAAATGAGGCAGTTCATGCTCCCCTTAGGGCTGGAGGCAGTCTGCAGGGGCCAGCTGGGCAGAGAAGAAGTCTTCTCACAGGCAGCACTCACACTCCAAAAGCAAGAATAGCAGTGGGACTTTGGGAAGGACACGAAACAGGAAAAGGAAGCTCCACACCAACAGCTCCCTGATGAAGGGAGTCTGTGTGCCTAGGCTTTTCACGAAAGTGCTGCTATCCTGATTTAAATCTGAGCTGCACCCCTGTCTCCCCACCTAGGAACTCACCATGGGCATTCTCAGCTGTGGCAGAGGATACCCTCCTTTCATTCAGGATAACAACCCCTGGGTGGGGTTTTCAACAAGTATAAAAAGCTCCTGGATAAACAAATCCCAAACAGGACTCTCACCCACAGTCCCAGTCCTCTCACCTTCTTCAGGTATCTGAAAAACGGAACCAATGGGTTTACAACATCCTGTTATCCAGCATCCTGTTATTACAACATCCTGTAATTCCAGGCTGTGGATGTAGGGAAAAGCCAGGTAAACAGGGAGGGGAGAACAGGTGAATGACCCCAATGGTTTGAGAGCAAAAGAGCAGAATAATTGCCTCTGATTAAGTAAACAGCAAGTAATATTAATAGGTCTGTTCCAGAAATACTACAAAATGGAAGAGTATGTGAGCACCCGATGCACGTGATAAAGACCATGCTCTGGAAGATCCATTCCAAGGAGTAGAAGCGGTATTTGCTCAGGGCATTTAAGGAGAGCACAGACTCTGGAATGAGGTGAAAGAAAAGATAGGACATGCAGGAACAGCTGGCAACACCAAGAAAGGATTTAAGGAGAGGGATCTCTCTGTTAGAGAACTTAACGTTACCCTAGAAACAGCAAGAGCATCATCAGCCCCAGGAAAATCTACCTCTGATGTGGGGACCAGGCTTAAGAAAATCCCCTAGAATCCAGAGAAAAAGTGCAAAACAAGGAAAATGGCTAAAGAAAATATCGTAGATATAGAGATCAGACAATGAGAATCCAGAGTCTTGTTAAGTGATGGAAGAAAAATATTAACAGAACACATGTAACACGAACAACATTTTAGAGGAAACAAGAAGAAAAGTTTCCTAAACTCAAAAGATACTACACCAGAAGTGGGCAGTACTCACTATGTTCAGGGGAACAAAAAGATAAAAACTAAAAAACAACTTCAGAATGTTTTTCATTGAAAAACATTTGTAAGGTAGGAGAATTAGGCCACTTACTACAGCACAAACTGCATGTCTATCTAAATTGATGTGCAAAAGCATGGGTATGCTTGGATTTACTGGAAAACCATACAGGTGTTTTTCAGGAATGCACAAAATGAATCAAAGTAACTAACTGATCAGGAAAATTGTGTAAGAAATCTGTGAGCTGGTTGTGAGGCAGCGGGTCCTATTATGTACAAATTTAATGCTAAGTTACTGTGTTATGGCTATCAATATGTTACCAATACATGGAAATGTATGTAATATAAAAAATAATTTGATTAACATGATAGCCCCACAATTCTAGGTCATTCCATGAAAATTAGATAATAGGGAGTATGGGGAAGAAGAATAAAAATGTGCTAATTATGCTGAGGGGATGAGTAGCATGATTTAGTTTTTGAAGATGATAAGAGTCTTTGTGAAATTTTACTACTTTAAGGGACATATCAAAGCAATAGATTCTGCTGAATATGAAAGAATGGGAAAGAATGTCAGGGAATTACAGTCAAAGGTAAGAAATCATCATAATATTAATATCAAAATTGAATGTCAAATGCATTAGAATTCTTTAATTGACTAGAAGATTATCTACAATGATCATATAATTACCACCAACTTCAGATTATATATAGCATGATCTGCAAATGTAGGATGAAATTAATAAAATAGATTGAGGAGTGCAAACACACTTCCTTTGGTGTTTGACAGATAAAATGTCAGCTTTTTTTTTTTTTTTTTGAGATGGAATCTCGCTCTGTTGCCTAGCTGGAGTGCAGTGGTGCGATCTCCGCTCACTGCAACCTCTGCCTCCCAGGTTCAAGCGATTCTCCTGCCTCAGTCTCCCAAGTAGCTGGGACCACAGGCACCCACCACCGCACCTGGCTAATTTTTTTGTATTTTTAGTAGAAACAGGGTTTCACCGTGTTAGCCAGGATGGTCTCGATCTCCCGACCTCATGATCCGCCTGCCTCAGCCTCCCAAAGTGCTGGGATTACCGGCGTAAGCCACCGTACCTGGCCAAAATGTCAGCTTCTAAGTATGCATATCTGGATCTAAAGAGAATAAAAATGACGATGATGATGAAAACAATTAACATTTGGGGGATATTTACTGTGTGGCAGGCACTATTATAAGTTATTTTCATGTATTAACATATTTAGTCCTTAGGACAACCTTATGATATAGGGATACTATTATCTCTATACTCCAAATAGACCCAGCACAAAGGCCAAAAATGTAATTGATATACTTTGCCTAACAGATAAATATTGCACTCTGGAACTTCAGAGAATATATCTTTACGGGCTCAGGAAGCATTTACCAAATTAGCCATATATTGGACCTTATCAAACCTCAGCAAATCTTCTCGAATCTTCTAGTCCCTCTCAGAAATCATAGATCACATTGTTCTAGACTACCTCATTTAGTAAAACTAGAAATATGTGACAGGGATAGAAACTCTGAAATGGTCTTCTTTATGTGTTTTCTTATTGTTTGAATCTTATACAATATGTATGTATTCTATGGTCATAAAACAACAGTTAAAAAGTAAAAAATTTTTTCCTTATATGTATACAGAAAGTAGCCCTAATAAATCAAAAAGCAAAACAAAAAAGGATTCATGGGTGGGCAAGGATCCATCCCAGGAAGAATACTGGGGTAATTTGTGGAGTTGAGGAAAGATCTCTTCTCCAGCCTGAAATGAACAAAATCAGAGCAGAGCCTGCCTGCCTGAGTCTGAGCCATGTGCTCACATGGATTGCCCTGTGCTGATTGGAATATGTGGTCTGACTGGTCAGGCCTGGATCCTCTGCCCTCATTGTGGCTAGGGGAGTGGAGAGCTGTGGTTGGCAATCCCACCAGATCAAGATTTGGGGAAGCAGCAGTTCTCTAAGGGAGGAGGCAGTATATAGCACAAACACCTGATGTCCGCCGCAGGGGGAAAAACAAGGCCAGGTATTCTACCTACCTACCCTTTTGTTCCAATAGGCATGCGTGATTCCTTAATTCTTTGGTGTATGAACTACAGGTCTACTATCTTCAACCATAATACTTGCTCCATGGTACTATGCAGTCTCCACAAGGATCATAATATTCCATTGAGATGTGTCACCTGCATTTCAATCACCTCCTCTTTAGTTTCTTACCCTCCAAACCAACCAGAGCTAAGAAAGCCATTTTGATCTCAGGCTACTGGCGCTGCATTTCCCACTCTTCTTTCCCCTTGTTACTACCCATCACCCTCCCACCGCTCCACCCCTCCACGTTTTACCTCATTAACTTTGAGTCTGTCTCAGTTTTAGTGTCATTTCCTAAGGGAAGCATTCTTTATACTTTGACCTTCCAGACCAGATTAATTTCACCCATGTACCTTTTCTTCAAGTCACTCATTGCCAATTCAAATCATTCATTTGTATGTGACTTTTTGATTAGTATTTTTGTCCTCATATACTCATCAATGTTCTTGGATAGAAACAATAGAAATCATTGGGTGCGGTGTCTCACGCCTGTCATCTTAGCACTTTGAGAGGCCAAGGCAGCCGGATCACTTGAGGTCCGGAGTTCGAGACCATCCTGGCCAACATGGCAAAACCCCATCTCTACTAAAAACACAAAAATTAGCCGGGCATGGTGGCATGCACCTGTAATTCCAGCTAGTCAGGAGGCTGAGGCAGGAGAATTGCTTGAACCTGGGAAGTAGAGGCTGCCATGAGCCAAGATTGTGCCATTGCACTCCAGCCTGGGTGACAGAGCAAGACTCTGCCTCAAAAAAAAAAAGAAAAAAAAAGAAAGAAACAATAGAAATGGATTATGGTATATTTATGACAAAATTTAATTTATTGGAAAGGTATTAGGAAGCTCACAGTTTTAATGGGAAGCTGGAGAACAAGGATGAGGCAGGGATGAGGGTTGGTGAGGCACAGCCAGCATCTCGCTAGGGATAGTGGGCTTAGGATGCTGCCACCCGAGCCTTCTAAACTGGATACTTACCATTGTGCTACTGGAACCAACACCACTGGCACTCATTACTGGCCTACTGAACCCTTAACTCTGATCATATACCTTGTGTCACTTCTCCAAAATCAACATCCTGAGCAGGAGCATCTCACTGGCTGTGCTTTGGTTATAAGCCTCCTTTCAGTTACCCAAGGGCCAGAGAGGGAATATCTGCCCACTGTTACTTTCATAGCAGAAGAGGGGCTTTGCTTATTAGCATTCTTTTCAATGGCCCAGAATTGGAAACAACCAAAATGTCTCTCAATAGGTGAATTTCCCTGACAAGAAGTCTTTTGTGATAAGCCCCAAATGGCTCTAGCTGGTTGCTCTCTGCTGGTGGAACCTCCTTCCCCTTCTCCCATAGTATATTTGTCTAAATCAGTGGTTCTCAACCTTAGCTCTGCATTCAAAGCATCTGGAAAATCTGATGGGGATTAAGTGGACTGGTTTAAAATTACCTGGCAGATGGTAGATGGTGGTTTGTAGTCTTCTTCCTGCTTAAAAAGTAAGACCAGACCCTTACCTCTCTCTCCCTCTCCTTGACCAAAGGGATTCTGTGAAAGAATTTTGTGAAATGCAAAGTTTTATTCAAGTGTAAATGACAACTTTTACCTTTACTTCATGAGATGCCAAAGATCTTTTTATTTTTAACTTTTTACTATGGAAACATCAAGCTATATAAAAGTAAAAGTAAGCAGAATAACATAAGTCCTTAATAGATCCATCATCACCCAGCTTCAAAAATTATCAATTCATGGCCAATTTTACTATAACTTCAGCCTCTGCCCCTTCATTGAATTATTTTTATCATGTCATTCACAAATGTTTTAGTATGTATCTCTAACAGATAAAGAACCCTAACAAAACAGCCACCATACTATTAGCACCTCAAACAATGATCACTAAGTTTGTTTGGACAAATTAGGAATCAAATAAACCAACTGCTTCAATTGATATGTTTTCTCAATCTCTTAATGTATAGATTCTGCCACCATGCCTTTTTTCCCTTTGTAATTTATTTATTAAATAAATCAGGTCATTTTTCCTTTAAATTTTTGTTCAGTTTATATTTCACTGTTTGTATTCTCCTGATTTAAAACAAACCTATTTTTTAGAAGTTTTACATATACAGAAAATTTATAAAAATAGTACAGAGTTCCCATACACTCTACCTACTTTACCCTATAATTAACATCTACATTATTATAAAACATTTCTTATAATAATAAATCAATTTTGATACAGTATCGTCAACCAAAATCTATGCTTTATTCAGATTTCCTTAGTTTTTCTCTAATGTCCTTTTTCTTCTCCAGGATACCACATTCCATTTAGACATGTTATGTGTTCTTAGGCTCATCTTTGCTGTGAGAATTTCTCAGACTTTCATTATACTTCATGATTCCTATAGACTGAATATTTTTCTTCTCAAATTCTTATGTTGAAATCCTAACTCCAATTGTGTTGGTATTTGGAAGTAGGGCCTTTGAAAAGTTATTAGGTCATGAGGACAGAGCTCTCATGACTGAAATTAGTGACTTTATAAAAGAGACTCTAGAGAGCTCCCTCACCCCTTCTCACACATGAGGTTTCAGCACAAGACTATCTTCTATGATCCCAGAAGTGGACCCTCAGTAGGCACCCAATCTACCAGTACCCGGATCTTGTACTTCTCAGGCCCCAGAACTGGGAGAAATCAAGTATTTGTTGTTTCTAAGCCACCCAATCTGTGGTATTTTGTTCCAGCAGCCCTAATGGACTAAGACAATAACAATTTTGAGGCTTACTGGTTGGGTATTGTGTAGAATGTCCCTTCACTGGGATTTGCTTGGTGCTTTTCTCATGGTTAGAGAGGGATTATATCTTTTTGAGGGAAAACCACAGACAAAAGTACCATTTTCATTACTTCATATTAAGGGTGCATTCTACCAACATGACTTGTCAATGATGATTTTGACCTTGATCACGTGTTCAAGGTAGTGTTTGTCAGGTTTCTCCACAAAGTTACTCCTTTCTTCTCCTGTTTTCTTACTGTACTCTTTGGAAGGAAGTCATTATTCACAACCCACAAGGAGTGGGGAGCTATGCTCCACCTCCTTGAGGGCAGAGTAGCTACATGAATTATTTCCAGTTCTTCTGCACGGGATATTTTTCTCTTCTCCTCCATTTATTTACTAACACATTTTCATTATTTATTTGTATTATCAGTATGGGCCTGTAGATATTTATTTGATACTTCAAGTTATAATCCAATACTACTTATTTTGTTGCTCAAATTCTTTCAGCTTTGGCCACTAGGAACTTTTTCAGCTGGTCCCTGTGTCTCTGTTTCTTTGATATACCTCCATCAGTATCGATTTTTGTCCTTTTTTATTTGGTGAACTTCCTTAATTTCTGGCATCACAAGATGCTTTAGGCTTATTGTATATCCATGTTGCATATTTCCTGGCCCAATGTTAGAATCAGCCATTTCTCCAAAGGGCTTTGATTCCTTTTATGGAAAATGGTATTAGAAACCAAAATGTGGCAGTTGGTGTGTTTGTTGCTACTGGAATATCATTGCTTCTAAGCCCACTCAGCTGACAGAGGAAGGAAATATCTGTGCACACTAACCTTTGTATGTATACATATATGTGTGCATGTATGTATGTGTATATATATAGCCATATCTACATCAAGCTAAAAATGAATTCATACTGATGTTTCAAACTCTAATCTATTACTACATAGATCATTCTAGTCTCTTCCTAATATTTTAAATAGGTATTCCTTTGAATTTCTTATAAATTGTTAGATCAAGATGACAGTTCAATATTTTGGCAGAGATAATCCAAAGGAGGTAGTGTGCTCTTTTATCACAATGTGTATAACAACTGTCTATTCATGATGTTAGCAACCAATGATGATCATTCCCTAGATTCCATTAATTCTTTAAAGTTTAACAAATGTTAAAATTTTGATTGGCTCTGTCCTTCCTCTTTGATTACCTGGAATACTTTGTGAAATAAATTTCCTCTCATTAACTATTTGGTGGCCCTGAGGAAGAGCTCATATAAAAAAGGCAGGATAAATGCTTAGTTCTTTTCATTATTATTTTTAAAATAATAGATTGGTTTTCTAGAATCTTCCCATGCTGACTACAGAGTTATTTTTGGTTCCAGGTACCATTATGAACTTGGAACAGCTCTTTAGGTACATGGCTCAGCCCTCTACCTGCAGCCTTGAGTCCTGGGCATTCTGCCTTAGGATAGTGGAATGGGGGATGGTTGGTGGGGGTGGGGCAGAGGCAGAGAAGGATTTGAAAGGGATGGCAAGGTTGGGGGCTCTAAAGGACTTCCATATTCATCATATTCATCTAGAAAAAGCTCTGGTCTCCAAAATCATGAAAACTCGTACAGCTGTTGCCTTGGTTTTACAGTTTTTCATGTTGCCTTTGAAATCTTTGAAGTCATCTTGAAAAGTCCATCTTTAAAGTCTCAAGTAACCAGGAAAGAAAGAACAGCTTGAAGATCTGGAAAGGGCATGTTTGATCCTAAATCATTAAAGGTAGCCTATCTAGGAGAAAAACCAAGTCGCCTTTGGAATGCTAGTGGAAGGGGGAAGGCCCCGGTTCTCCACCCTGGTTATTAGTTACCTAAAACATATTTTAAAAACCGCATATGTCCCTGTAGGACCCCATACATTCTGATTCAACTGGTCTGTGGTAGGAAAAAGTGGCAGCTTTTAAAAATTTTTAGAAGCTTTTTGCGAGGTGACTCTAATGTTAAAGCAGGGCTATTTCCAAACCCCCTGGAACTCTAGCAGGCCAGTGACAATTGTATCACACCTACAGACTCATCACTTTAATGCAGTTGCTTCATGTTATTAGATAATATCCCTGCCCCACAACGCAGAAGACTAAGCTAGGAAAGATGATGTCATACAGCTCATCCCTCCTTCAAACACTGGAGCGTGATGAGTGCAGCTCAGTTCCAACACTTGGGTCTTTATTTATTATTATTATTTTTTGTAGAGACGGGGTCTCGCTATGTTGCCCAGACTGGTCTCAAATTCATGACCTTGAATGATCCTCTCACCTCGCCTCTCACAGTGCTGGGATTATAGGTATGTGCCCAGCCCTGGCTCCTCAACGTAAGACATAGCACTGTGCCCCAACCCTCAACTCCAAGAATGGCTACATTTACTTTCTGCCTGGCACTGTTCTAAGTGCCTAACATATCTCAACATCCCTAATAGGTTGGTATCATCTCCACTTAACAGATGAGCTGCTGGGATCTGAGAGAGTTAAGTGACTTGTTAAGGTCACAAACCTGTTTCTGGGTGGGTCCGGACTCTTTCCCACCATATGCCGTCACTTACAGGCTGTGAGTTTATGCCCAGCCCCCCTCAAGGAGCTGCCTCCTGCTTTCTATTGCATAATCAATATCGACACCTGGTGTAGGGGCGCTCTGCAGGGTGGGGAAGGCCTGGCCTGGAGTGAGGGATCCTGCATCTCAGCATCAGGCCCTGAGTAGGCCTCTGCCCTTGTGGTAGGGTAACCCACCCTCCTTCATAGCTCAGAGGTCTGAGGGGGTTTGAGGGAAAGACTAGAAAGCCTAGGAGGCTTCTTCTATCTCTCACCCCTCCTCACTCCCAGTCCTGTGCCACAGGATTTCACTCACAGCTCCTTCCACCCCCACCCTTCCCCTGAAAATCTCACTGCCCTGTGACTTCTCTATGTGCCACTCCCTGTGCGTCAGACCCCCACGATCAGCTGCCCACTGCCTATGGCCACCCCAATTCCTTAGAACTACACTTATCACTGCTCACCCTTCTCCTACTCTCCCCCTCTCAGAAAATGACACCACATCCAGGAAACTCGGAACCACCACTAGCCCAGCGCTCCCTCTTCCCCATTCACTCAGTCACCAAGTCCCCTCAATTTCACCACTCAAGATAGTTGTCAGACCATGGCGCCTGTCCATCTCCATTTCCCTAGGATAGGCCTTGGTGTCTGAGGCCAACCCTGCCTCATTTCCTCCTAACCCCCACCCAGGCCTTGTGCTTTGTGTACCACCACACCCAACCAAAGGTAGTTATTACTTCTTTGGCTCCCAGCACTCAACTGAGCGCCCCAGCTCTTCCTCACCTGCCGGGACACTCCAGCTGACTCCAGATTGCGACGCAGGCGTTTACGTACCAGCCTTTCTCCAGGTTCAGGGCGCTGCCACATCTTCAGCCCCGACCCGCCGCAAGTCTCATTTCCTCCTAACCCCAACCCAGGCCTTGTGCTTTGTGTACCACCGAACCCAACCAAAGCTAGTTCCCTGACTTGCTCTTTTGGCTCCCAGGAGCCTTTAGGTACCGGCCTTGCGCCAGGTTTAGGGCGCGGCCACACCTCTAGCCCCGCCCCACCGCAGGCCCAACCCAGAGGCTGCTTTCGGTTACCCTAGGGTTCCTGGGCCCTGGACTTCAACCCGGTCTGCAAGCCCCGCCCTGATTAGCTGCCTCCCGCACCGGTCGCGGCGCCCCGCCCCCAGGCGCCTAGGTTCCTCCCCTTATCCCTGCAGGGATTGGGCCTTGCAGCACCGCCCAGGCTCGGATTGGTCCGAGGTGAGACCCGCCCCTCTGCCCATTGGGCCTTCGGGACAGCAGAGGAGCAGTGTCCGGCCATGGCCGGAGCCCGCAGGCTGGAGCTAGGCGAGGCCCTGGCGCTGGGGTCGGGCTGGCGTCATGCGTGCCACGCTCTCCTCTACGCGCCGGACCCTGGGATGCTCTTCGGCCGCATCCCGCTGCGCTACGCCATACTGGTGAGAAGGGGGCGCGCCCGGCCACTTTCTGCCTGAGCCCCGCACCCTCTCTGGTGGTCTCCTCTGGGGCGCCCCTGCCAATCCCCGCTTCCCCCTCCCGCAGATGCAGATGCGCTTCGATGGACGCCTGGGCTTCCCCGGCGGATTCGTGGACACGCAGGACAGAAGCCTAGAGGACGGGCTGAACCGCGAGCTGCGCGAGGAGCTGGGCGAAGCGGCTGCCGCTTTCCGCGTGGAGCGCACTGACTACCGCAGCTCCCACGTCGGGTCAGGGCCACGCGTTGTGGCCCACTTCTATGCCAAGCGTCTGACGCTCGAGGAGCTGTTGGCTGTGGAGGCCGGCGCAACACGCGCCAAGGACCACGGGCTGGAGGTGGGACCAGCCTGGGACTCTGTCCCTTTCCCAATTTCCTCTTCTCCCAAAGCTTTCTCTCCCCCAAGAAAGCATCCCTGGAGAAAAGTCTTTGCCCCTCTGACCTTGCCCTCTCCCCAGCTTTCTTGGTGGAGTTGGGATCGTGATCATCTATACTCTGAATTAGTACTGCCAACCTGGGCTTTCTGTAAAGGTCTTTCCCACCCTTTACCAGGAGAGATCCTTTCTAGAACACACTCATCCATGTCTCTCTGCTGTTCCCTATTGACAGTGTGATAGATTATCACATTATCTAGGTGTGGCAACCTAGGTTTTATTCTTGGGGTTTGCTTTTCTTGTGTAGGAGATGTGGCCCTGATATTTCAGGCAGGGCTAGTAGATAGATTATGTATGAAGGTGGTTCTCAAAATTTGGCAGGTAGCAGAATCATCGGGGCGTCTTATTAAAATAGCGATTTCTCTCAGCATTCCTGCATTGGTGGTGGGGCGGGGGGAGAGGAAACCTGAGAATTTGTAGTTTTCAAAAGTTCCCAAATAATGCTGATGCAAATAATCTGAGGACCACATTTTGACAACCACTGGTGAAAGGGTATGAATACATCTTTGAGGCAGTAGCCACTAGAGGTTTAGAAGCAGATGTGGGAAAGATTAATTGATAGAGCTAGATAATATGTTTTGGGTCATTTTCCTGCAGAAGGTTGGGCCACTAGGCTTTAGTGAGGTGTGAGCCTTGGGCCTGGTTCTGCTGGAGTATTAAGGGGTGAGGCCTGATCTGCTGGAGAAAGGATGGAGTTAAGGGAATGAGCCACCTGGGGCCCTAGTGTCTCCTGTCTCCTTCCTTTTACAGGTGCTGGGCCTGGTGCGAGTGCCCCTGTATACCCTGCGGGATGGTGTAGGAGGCCTGCCTACCTTCCTGGAGAATTCCTTTATTGGCTCTGCGCGGGAGCAGTTACTTGAAGCTCTCCAGGACTTGGGACTGCTGCAGTCTGGCTCTATTTCAGGCCTTAAGATTCCAGCTCATCACTAGAGGCAGCCCTCCATGGACCCATGAAAACTGAGATGAGGACCTTGGTACTAGGGAGGGAGGGAAGGACGTGGGAATGTTTTCTTATTGGATCTGAGAGATGATACATGATACCAGATGAAAAGAAGGAGAAGTGTGTACCATATGTTTTGAGCAGAGGACCCTCCAACTTATGGCATCAGGGGCAAAAAGTCACAGCTTATCCCAGGCACCCTGGCAGGTTCTCAGAGCCTGCCTCCTCCCTGTTTATATGCGTACAGCCTGGTAACCCCCAGGCATGCAAATATACAATCTGTAACAACACACAGCCTGACACCTTCCCCTGGTCATGTCCAGTTTAACCTTGAAGTGGCATTTGTCACACTACCCTGGTCCCTGATTGCAAGGAGCTTCTGAAGCAAGGGTGAATCCTTCCCACACTCCTCCATGGTTGCCCTCCAGGGTCTAGCCCAGCCTATTTGTTAGGGAGGATAGAGAAACAGAGCACCCCCTGTGCTTTCTGAAAATAGACTTGCTCTTGTCTTGAGTGGTGACCAAAGCAGTTGGCTCTTAAAAGGTGGGAGAGCAGCCCAACCAATCCCCAATCCTTTTCTTCTGAAACTGAGCAGGAAGGGTAAGGAAGTGGCTAGGTCTCCTTGGACTGAGCATGGACATGAGTCCTGTGAGGACTGGTGTCTCTCCTCTAGAGCTTTCATCTTTGGGATGCCTGAGACTCCGAGACTATCAGAAGGGAATTGACCCACCCCAGTCTAGCACCACCCTGCCTTCACTTCATCTACATAAAGGTGGTATAAAAACATAGACTGGAGGAGGTAATCCATGGAGAGAGAAAAAGAAGAGGGCTCAGGACAAGGCCCTGAGGAGGCCCAATCCTAAAAGTTTGGGCAGAGGGAACCAGGCACGTTAAAGAAGACAGAAAGCGGACTATGCAGAGTGCTTGTGAGGGTTTCACTAAAACAGAGGCAAAACTGTCCATTGAATTCAGTAACATGAAGTGTTTGATGACTATGATGGCAGCAGTTTCAGGAAGGGCGGTATGGAAGGCAGGCTGTACTGGTTGAGTGAATGGAAAGTTGGGGAGTAGAACGTGTGAGAAGTTGGCCTTCAAGGGGCTCAGGTTAATAATAGAGAGCTATGGAGTCAAGGCATGTTTAAGATGGGAGGTAGAGCATGCCAATATTGATGGCAACAGTCAAGATGGTGTGATGAGAGAGATGGGAGGGGCACAAAGAGGAGGACCCCTGAAGGAGCAGAGTCCATGAGAAAGAAGGAGGGATGGGACCTTTGTAGGAAGAGACACAGTCCTGCAGCCTCATATGGCTCAATAAAACAGAAAGGGGCAAGTATAGAAGATTAGGATGACTAAATTAATGGGGAAATGATGAAGGAGTTTGAATCTCTTCTTTGTGAAATGAAGTGAGACTATCAGCTAGTTGTGGGTGGAGTGTGTTCTCAGAAGGTATGAAGTAGATGTTTTCCTAGGTGTTGGAAAACAGGTTGATTAAGGCAACAGCAGAAGGGCAGGGCAAGGCTGAGCTCTGAGATGGTCAGTTTAGAGTAGGATGCTGGGCACTCAGGTGTGTGTGTGTTGAGTGGGGCTCTGCACACACCTGTCTTCCCCTCATCAGGATTCAGGAGCTGGGATGGGTACACTTACTGCAGTGTTGGGGTTTTGCCAGGGAAGTAAAAGGAGTTGAGAGAAAGATGGGTCAGTTCAGAAGACATACACAGGAGAAATTGTAGTGATGAAATGTGCAGTCTAAGGTTTAATCTGACCAAGAAATTGGAATTGAAAACAGGAGGTGACTAGGGAGGGATTAGGAAATTAGAGGTCTTGACAAGATAGAAACTCCAGCATGGTGAGGGGTTGGGCAGGGAGGTATATTTGAGCCAGACAGGAGTGCTTTGGAAATTGAGAGGTGGAGCAATCTCAGGTAAAGGCAAAATAGAGGGTATGACCTGGGGTTGCTGGCCAGAGCCAGGGAGGAGCCTTAAGAAGTGAAATCTAGGGTTGGCGAGGCTGGAGGGCAGGGTGAGCCTCCACATGGGTGCTGAAGCAAGAAACCGACAGATGTTGAGGAGAATGGTGTGACCTAGGAGTCAGCATCCTTGGTGAACAAGAGGAGTGGCCACAAGGCCAGTGGCACCTGCCAGAGGGGAAAGCAGGCATGACAGGATAGCATCTCCCAGGTGAGAGCCTTTTGAGGAAGGGAGGGTGGGCAGTGGTCTGGAAGCTTGATGCAGAGCAGTGTGGGTCCCACTGGCAGCCCTTGGTCTTAGAAGAATGGGAGTACCCAGTGGGGGAGCAGCTGTACAATGAGGTAGACTCCTAGAGGTTAATTATCATCTCCTAATCTTACCCTGACCCTTTTGTCAAACGTTATCTAGATTAAACCTCAGTATAGGCAGGCTGCAGGAAATGGACATTCCAGTGGCCCCTGGGGTTCCAGCCTGTAGCAGCTTCATCTGTGCTTTGTGCACTTGGTTCTCAGTCATCTCTGCAAGGGACCCTGACGCCTGGGAGATCAGAGCCACTGACCCTTTATGGCACTGCTAACAGACCCCTTCCCTCAGGTAATTCTGGATCCAGAACTCATTATGGGATGTAATCCAGGTCAACACTAATACCACTTGGAAGGTTCCGCTCTGTCTCACTCTGCTTGAGTATCCCACTGATCAGTCTCTCAGTGCCTGCCTACTGGGCAGCTCATCTGTCCACTTATTCGTATTAAATTTGCTTTTTATTTAGGTCTCTGGAGATGGTTGCGTGGGGAAGAGCCCATGACTTTCCTATATGATCCCTTGAACATACTCTCCAAGTCAGTAGATTACCTCTCAGGCAGCCTTCATAAAAGTGTTTCACTGTACTGGGGTTTGTGTTCATCTCACTCACATAGACAGTCTCTGGGTAGGCAGGTGGGGGGTGATACAAGTTCACACTCTGTGTTTCTCCTCCTGTTAGCCATTCCCACCCTGCTGATGTTTAAGGAAAGCCAGGGATGATGACCCACTTAAGCTTTCCTTGGCCTTGTTAAGTCCAATCATCTGGGGCAGGAAGAAGAGAAATGCTCATTGCAATCTTTGACCCCCACTAACTGCTGTGGTGACTTTGACCCAAGCCCTTGACCTCCTTTTCCTTATCTGAAATGTTGCTGTGATTCCTGTGGTGAGATCAGATGAGGCAGCACTTGGGATAAGCTTGCAGAGATGCATTGAGCGGTATGAAAGTACAGGATGCTATGTACTTTCCTGCTTCACAGCACATTTTGTTTCTTGCAAGGTGAGTGGCCCAGCCGCCTCTCCACAAACACGTGTTTCTGCCTTTCTCAGCATAATCAGCAAGATGTTCCCACTTCTCAGCATTGCACTTTTCTGCTGGTGCAGAATAAAAACACTTTGAGCCCCACCCTGTCCTGAGACAAAGTCCTCTGTGGTCACTTGGCATATGGCAAAGCTGCTGCTGTGGGCTGGAACATTTGAGGCAACAGTGACTTCCTCCTTTCCTAGTTACCGGAACCCTTAGAGCTGGGAGCCGGCCAGTGAAACAGACAAGGGGAGGGGAAGAGAAGAGGGAAGGCATGTTTCCTATATGAGTTTCAGTTTGTTGCACAGAAATGTTTTTGAAACCTTTATCTCCAATAGAATCACAAACGGGTGTCAGAGAGTCAAAACTAGAGGAAAAAGTTTAGTCTGTAAACAAATCATTAGATGGCATCAGAATTTGAACCAAAGTAAAAGATGCTGGACCTTGGCACTTATCAGAGAAGTATAGAAGAGCCAGGTAGGGGATTTTATTTACAACATGTTCAATTCTGAGGAAGAGGAGTATGGGCAGGGCAGAGGAAAAAGGAAAAATGGGAAACCCCCATGGACTTAGGGCCCCCACAAAGAGAAACCATGTGCCTTCTCCCCACTTCCCTTCTGGCTTGGGCAAATGAGGCTCCCTTTAGGGGTAGAGGTACTCTACAGGGGCTATGTTCCCTTTAGGGGTAGAGGTAGTCTACAGGGGCCAGCTGGGCAGAGATGAAATCTTGCAAAGGAACCCTTCTTACACTCGAAAAGCAAGAATAGCAAAGGGACTTTGGGAAGGACATAAAACAAGAAAAGGAAGCTCCTCACCAACAGCTCCCAGATGGAGGGAGTTTGTGTGTCTAGCATTTTCACCAAAGTGCTGCTCATCCTGATGCACAGATGCAGATTGGAGCTGCTGCCTGTGCCCTCACCATGGGTATGTACCCACCACAGGCATTCCCAGGTGATGCGGGGGCAGAGGATTCCCTCTTTCCACTCAGGATAACAACCCCTCGATGGGGTTTTCAACAAGTATAGAAAGCTCCTGGACTCAGCCAAGACCCTCACCTACAGTCCCAGTCCTCCCACCTTCTTCAGGTCTCTAGAAGACAGAACTGATGGGTTTACAACATCCTATTATCCAGCACTAGTCCTAGGTTGTGGATGTAGGGAAAGGCCAGGTAAACAAGGAAGGGAGAACAGGTGAATGACCCCAATTGTTTGAAACCAAAAGAGCAGAATTGCCCCTAATTGATTTAAGTAAACAGCAAGTAACATAGGTCTGTTAAATAGAAGAGGATGTGAGCACCAGATGCACGTGATAAAGACCATGCTCTGGAAGATTCATTCCAAGGAGTAGAAGTGGTATTTACTCAGGGCATTTAAGGAGAGCAGGGACTCTGAAATGAGGTGAGAGAAAAGATAAGACATGCAGGAACAGCTGGCAACACCAAGAAAGAATTTAAGGAGAGGGATCTCTCTGTTAGAGAACTTAACATTACCCTAGGAACAGCAAGAGCATCATCAGCCCCAGGAAAATCTACCTCTGATATGGAGACCAGGCTTAAGAAAATCCCCTAGAACCCAGAGAAAAAGTGCAAAACAAGGAAAATGGCCAAAGAGAATATCATAGATACAGAGATCAGACAATGAGAATCCAGAGTCTTGTTAAGTGATAGAAGGAAAATACTAACAGAACACATGTAACAGGAACAACATTTTAGAGGAAACAGGACAAAAACTTCCCTAAACTCAAGATACTACACCAGAAGTGGGCAGTACTCACTATGTTCAGGGGAACAAAAAGATAAAAACTAAAAAGCATCAGACTGTTTTTTGTGTGAAGGAAATTTGTAAGGTAGGAGAATTAGGTCACTTACTACAGCACAAATTGCATGTCTATCTAAATTGACGTTTAAGTGCAAAAGCATGGATATTACTCATGCAGTTTTACTGGAAAACCATACAGATGTTTTTCAGGAATGTACAGAATGAATCAAAGGAAATAACTGATCGACAGGAAAACTGTAGGAAATTTGTGGGCTGGCTGTGAGGCAGTGGCTCCTATTATGTACAATTTTAGTGCTAAGTACTGTGTTAATGATGGCTATCAAACAATATGTTAACATCTGAAAGGAAATATGTATATTGAGCATAATAAATATTTTATAAATAACAATAAATCATTTGATTTTATGCTAGTTCCCAGGTTCTCACTTATTTTAGTAAAAGTGAGTAGTGAGGAGGGAGAAAGAAGCATAAAAATGTGATTCTGCTGAGGAAATTAGCAGGATTTGATTTCTGAAAACGGTAAGACTCGTGAAATTTTACTATTTCAAAGTACATACCAAAACAATATGATTCTGGCTGAATATGAAAAGATGAGAAAGAATGCCAGGGAATTACAGTAAAAAAGTAAGAGATCATCATAATATTAATATCAAAGGCACTAGAATTCTTTAATTGATCAAGAGATTATCCACAATAATCACATAATCACCAACAATTTCAGATTATATACAGCAAAGTCTATTAGAAATTAAGAAAATAGTATTAATTAAGAGAGTGCTAAGATACTTTCAGTCAATGTTTGACAGTTAAAATGTCAGGTGTAAGTATGCCTATGTAGTATTGAAAAAGAATAAAAAGGAAGATGCTGATGACAATTAACATTTTAGGGATGCCTACTGTGTGGCAGGCACTATTCTAAGCTCTTTTCATGTATTAACATATTGAGTCCTTAGAACAATCTTATGATGTAAGGATACTATTGTCTTCATACTCGAAACAGACTCAGCACAGAAGTCAAAAATATAATGAATGTACTTTGCTTAAATATTGAGCTCTGTAACTTCAAGCAGTGAATGTAATTTTAAAGGGTCAGGAAACATTTAGCAAATTAGTCGTTTATTGGACCTTATAAAACCTCAGTAGGCCGAGCACAATGGCTCATGCCACCGAGGCATGTGGATCACCTGAGGTCAGTAGTTCGAGACCAGCCTGGCCACCATGGTGAAACCCCATCTTTACTAAAAATACAAAAAAAAAAAAAAAAAAAAAAAAAAAACTAGCCGGGTATAGTGGCGCATACCTGTAATCTCAGCTACTCAGGAGGCTGAGGCAGGAGAATTGCTTGAACCTGGGAGGCGAAGGTTACAGTGATCCGATATCGTGCTACTGCACCCTAGCCTGGGTGACAGGGAGAGGCTCTATCTCAAAACAAACAACAACAAAACCTCAGGGGAACATCACACACTGGGGCCTGATGGGGGTTGGGGGGCTAGGGGAGGGATAGCATTAGGGGGACTACCTAATGTAGATGACAGGTTGATGGGTGCAGCAAACCACCATGGCACATGTATACCTATGTAACAAACCTGCACATTCTGCACATGAACCTCTGAACTTACAGTGTGTATATATATATATATATAACCTCAGTAAATCCTCTGGTCTTCTATCACCCTCTAAGAAATAATAAAGCACATACCAAGTTCTGGACCACATGTAGTAAAACTAGAAATAAATTACAGGGACAGACACTCTGAAATATTCCTGTTATGCCTTTCTATATTGTTCGAATCTTGCACAATATGTATGTATTCTATGGTCATAAAATGACTAGTTAAAAATAATAAAAAGGAACTATTTTTTTCTTGTGGTGTATAGAAACCAGCCCTACTACATCTAAAAAAACAAAAAAAAAAGGGCTCATGGGTAAGTGGGGACCTATCCCAATAAGCATTTTGGGGTAATATGTGGAGTTGAAGGAAGATCTCTTCCCCAGCCCCAAGTGATCAAAATCAGATTAGAGGCTGATTGATTGACTCTGGGCCGTGTGCTCGCATGGATCCCCTGTGCTGACTGGAATATGCAGTGTGACTGGGCCCTCTGCTCTCTCTGTGGCCAGCAGGGTGGAGAGTTGTGATTGCCAGTCTCACCAGATCAAGATCTGGGGGAGAAGAAGATCTGTATGGGAGGAGGCAGTATATAGCACAAACACCTGATGTCCACCACACAGCAGGGAGAACAAAGCCAGGTGAACTCACACAAAGGTGCAGGGCCAGAGACCATGTTATGTTAGAAGCATGACACAGGAAGGGGAATATCACACTCTGGGGACTGTGGTGGGGTGCGGGGAGGGGGGAGGGATAGCATTGGGAGATATACCTAATGCTAGATGACGAGTTAGTGGGTGCAGCGCACCAGCATGGCACATGTATACATATGTAACTAACCTGCACAATGTGCACATGTACCCTAAAACTTAAAGTATAATTAAAAAAAAAAAAAAAAAAGAAGCATGCCCTATGGCATCCAACCTGGAATTATGAGGATAATAAAAAGGAAACAAGGCTAGAAATTAATATTGCCAGAAGCTAGTCTGTGGAAAATTCTTCCTAATCTTACAGCTCATATACAAAAACAAACAAAAACACAAAAAACTTGAGTTTTTTTTAACATTTGAGAAAAATTTTAAAACTTTACATTATGTTACCAATAACAAGTTGTGAAACCAAAAAAAACTGTTTAAACTATCAGTAATTAAAAACACAGTTTGATTACCATCCTAGAGGAAAACTGAATAAACTTCCAATTCACCATGTGTAGAATGATAGCATAAAATTGTCATATGAAGACTAATCAAATAGTATGCAACTAAAAAAAGGTAGAAAAATATTATAAGAGCATATTAGGTAATTAATTATGTTATTTTTCTGGATTTTTTCATGATTGTAGGATTTTTTAGTTTTTTCAAGTTGTAATTTGTTGTGAATTTATATTCTAAATCACTTTCCTTTCATATCTAATTTTGATTTCCTTTTTCTTAAAAAGTGTTCCCAGAGTTGTAAAAGATTCAAGCCCCACACAACACGTAGCTCTGCCTATGCATTGAGGCCTGGCAGCCCTGGACACTTGGATGGAGTGAAGTGGGGCCGGAAGTAGCTTTTCACTATTTTACCTTCCCTGAAGACCCTGATGCTGGGGCTGAGACCCAAACGAGAAAGCTGGGGTATAACGAATAGGGAAATAACTATCATCTGTTTGAGTTTTTTTCAGTTTGTAGAACTAACTGAAGTTATTCCTTATTTATCCAAGAGACGGTAAGTTATGTAAATGTTCTATACCAGGACTTAGAGGTGATGAAGAGGATAAGAGGTGAGGGAGAGAGAGTAATCGAACCCCAGTGAGTGTAAGTGGCTGAGAAATGCTGGCCTCTGAACCTGAAGCCTTTCCTTGGTGTTGGTGTACTTGGTGGTCACATGGAGGATTTAATGTCCCTAAGGCAGTTGTCTTCCACGGGAGTGACACCCCTCCTTAAAGGGAGTCTTCCTGTTACCAATGTCATATAACAAACCATCCCCAAATTTAGTGGGTTAGAATAACAGCAATTCATGGTTGCAGTCAGATGGAGGTGACAGCTCGAGTAGCTGGGAGCTTGAGTAGTCTCTCAACTGAGAGCAGTAGTCTCTCTCTCTTCAGATCATCTCAGGGCCTCTCCATGTTGTCTGTTTGGGCTTCCTCACAGCATGGCCACCTTATGGCAGTGAGACTGCTTACATGGTAGGTCTGGGCTCCAGCATGAATGTTCCATCAAGCAAGGTGGAAGTCGCATGGCCTTTTCTGACTCAGCCTTATAAGTCACACAACTTTACTTTTCCCACATTCCATTGGTAACAAACTAGACACAAACTCACAAATTCAAGAAGTGGGAGGACTGGGCTCCAAATCTTGATAAAGGAGCAGCACAGTTCTGGAAGATGGTGTGGGACAGGAGATATTCTATGGCAATCTTTGGAAGATACAATCTGCTACAGTGTCCCCAAATCCTTATTGTATTTTTTATTATTTATTTATTTTGAGACAGAGTCTCACTTTGTCACCAGGCTGGAGTGCAGTGGTGCAATCTCAGCTCACTGCAACCTCCGCCTCCTGGGTTCAAGCGATTCTCCTGCCTCAGCCTCCCAAGTAGCTGGTATTACAGGCACCCACAACCACGCCCGGCTAATTTTTGTATTTTTAGTAGAGACGGGTCTCACCATGTTGGCCAGGATGGTCTCAATCTCTCCACCATGTGACCCACCCACCTCGGCCTCCCAAAGTGCTGGGATTACAGGCGTGAGCCACCCTGTCAGGCCGAAATCCTTGTTGTAAAAAGGAGGCACTGGGTCTGAGAACCCTGTCACAGCCCTGAATACATTTCGGATGGAGCCAAGCACTAACTGACAGGATTAAAATCAGAGTGCTTGGCAGCAGGTCTTGCTCCGGTGCTTGACTTGCAGCTGTCATCCTGCTCCCACCTCACATGGGCCTGACAGATGTGAGGCTGCCAAATCACGTTAGAAACCTCTGCAGATGGACACAGGTTGGTGCCATGTAAAAAGTCAGAGGGAAAGTTCTGGATTCTGGACTTTTTTTCTTCTAAGTTTTAAAGCCGTAATAATGTTCTAAGAAACCTCAGGTCTGGCTTACCGTTGTTTCAGGTATTCTAAGACACACATCTTTAAAATCTCTGAAATAGGAATGAGTCTTACAATTGATGCCAGGTTTTGTTCTTGACATAGTTGATATTTGCTGCATACGGCTTTAAAAGTTTTAGAAGGAATGTCAGCAGCTTGGGAAGAAATCCAAGAGACGAATGTGGGGAACTCTTAAGAAACGTTGCAAATCATGGCTCTTAATGGCACAGAGGATGATGTTTTATAGAAAGATACGGACATCTATGATCCCAATTTGAAGTGGTTCAAAGAGAAGGATGCTGTGTAGAAGTTTTAGAGATATCTAAATCATTTTATTTTGCTTATATTTCCTTTCTGTGTATGTACAAAAGTGATCTATAATAAAGGCTCATGTCTAAATTACTCTGAAAGATCTTTCTTAATGTGCAGAAAATTTTAAAAATACCTTTTAATAGGCAAGAAAACATCATGTTATGGCTCCATGGCAGTATTTTTCTTTCTTAATGGTACCTAAAATATTAATGCACGTTGCAATCAATGATGTCTCAGAGTGGGTGAAACACAGGAGATGAGCCTCATTTTCACCTCGGAGGCAGGTGAAGTCTTAAGTGACTTCTAAGAAAGAGCCCATGGAATGCAGTGATGTCTGAGAGGTGAGAAGTCAGAAATGTCAATGATGTGTAGGCCCATCCCCTATCTGAGAATCCAACACTTTCTACCTAAAGATCTGCCTCAAATATTGGCTTTAATACCTCATTTCCCAAACTCAGATCTGTGGTCTGCCACGGTACTTCCAATTTTTAGGACAAAGAAGCTGAATGTTTGAAACTGGACACATGGTCTCCATAGGTATCAGGCATCTTGCTCTCAGACACTACTGAGAAAATGTCAATCCTCTTTTTAGTAACATTAATCACATTAAGTGCAACTCACATGCTGTTCATTCCTGGAATGTCCCACTTGTCAAGAGCCCATGTAATGTCTGACTTGTCCTTCAAAACTCATAATCCCTTTAGGGCAGCTTTCGCCCCCTCTCTTCTGGGCTACCGTGGCAACCAGAGTATGACTCTACAATAGTACATATGTCATTGCCCAGGATTCTGTGTTTAAATTGCTTTTGGCCCTACTAGAACACGACTTTATTTCCCCAGCATATGGTATGTTTCTTATGAAGTAAACTCAATAAGCACTCAGTAAAATGCTTATTGAACACATGCTTCATGAGAAGTCTTGGCTCTTATGGAAGCTAAAGAAGCCTCCACATAGAAGTTCATTTTAAATATTAATTTATATTAACTTTTGTCAAAGAGTTTTCTCACACTGTGGCAAACAGCACTGGACTAAGATTCAAGTCTCTTTTACAAGGTCCTATGACCTTGGGCAACTTCCCTAACCTTACTGGTTCTTGGTCTCCCTGTCTTCTGTGAACCTCTCAAGGGTATCCTGTATTTCCCATTATTTAGCACAGTGCCTGACACACAGAATGTGCTCAGTAAATATTTATTTTAACAATGTAATCTGTAAAACAAATGAAGGGATTGGACAAATCTCAAAGGGCACTCTTTGGTTTCCTCATAATGCAGATAAACACTTCTCACCTCATCCAATCAAAACACTTAATAATTCTTAATTCATAGGACATAGTTTAACAAAGTAAACTTGTAAAGCTGCTTGGAGGTATCTCAGCAACTTATTACCATCCTAGCAACTTACTACCATTACATTCAAATGATGGGTACAGAACAGATAAATTTACCTAAGGTACATGTTGAAGTTTGGAACTTAATTCTTATCGATTACCAAGTAATAAGGTTTTATTGGTTCCTAGAGACACTCCTCAGACCCTCTCCCACCTATTGGCTGATACCTGAAATTTTATCATTCATCTTCTTAGTGTGAAGGTCTATCTTTAAAAAAACTGTAGAATATTCATATTTTTTTCAATAGTGCTCAATACTAGAATAAATATCTTTATGTATTAGCTACATGGAGCTTTTAAAGATAACACTGGTGAGTTGAGAATATTGTTCCTGTTTCATGCTATCATATATATATATCATATATATAGTAGTATATATATCTCTATCTATATGAATGTATATCTGTGTGTGTGTATATATATATAAATATATATATACATATATATATTTATATATATGTGTATATATATATATATATATATATATATATATAGAGAGAGAGAGAGAGAGAGAGAGAGAGAGAGAGAGAGAAAAGGGTCTCACTCTGTCACCCAGGCTGGAGTGCAGTGGTGCGATCACAGCTGACTGCAGCCTTGACCTCCCTGGGTTCAGGTGACCCTTCCACCTCAGCCCCCACAAATAGCTACAGGTGTGTGCCACCACACCTGGCTAATTTTATATATATATATATATATATATATATACACATACATATATATATATATACATATATATATATATACATATATATATATATATATGTATATACATATATATATATATATACATATATATATATGTATATACATGTATATATATATACATATATATATATATATGTATATACATATATATATATATATATATATATACACACACATATATTTTTTGGTAGAGACAGGGTTTTGCCACGTTGCCCAGGCTGGTCTTGAATTCCTGGGCTCAAGTCATTCACCTGCCTCAGCCTCCCAAAGTGTTTAGATTACAGGCATGAGCCACCACACTTGGCCCATTATAACATTTTAAGGGAATTAAATTAGTAAATCGTCACTGCAGATCTGCTAGTATGACAGCTGGTGGCAATTTGTCATATGTTTGTTGTAGTGGGCAGGTTAAGCCTGCAAGTTCATATGTTATAGCCAATGGTATAACAAAAGTCTTTGCTAAAAATCTTAGGCAAGCCACATTTCCCTTGGAGCTCTGTATTGGATGTCAAGGTATTAAGTTAGTATCGGGGAAAAACCACAAAGTTTCAAGGATAAAAAATGGAGCGACAGAGGCATTACTAAAATGGAAACAAAATTATGTTCAGAAGGAGGCATGGGGCACCCTGGATTTTATTAAATAACAATTAATTGACATTCCATTAATTAACAATTACCACAATCATGCTCTATAACAACACACAATGTCAGCAGTGAGCAACATAATCATCTATTTAGCTTGTGTGTCTGCAGCCCTCCAGCTGGCCTGGAGTTAGCTATTCTGGGTTGGGCTTGGCTGGGACTGATTCTGCTGCATGTGTTTCTCATCCTTCTCCTGGGACCAGTGGGCTAGATCAAGATGTTCATCTCTTGGTTACAGCAGTGAAGCAAGGAACAATTACACAAGTGCTTTTCCAGCCATTAGTGATACCACACCCACTAACATTCCATTGGTGAAAGCAAGTCACATGGCTGAACCCAAAGTTAAGAGGCAGGGAAATATATTCTGCCTTTTGGTAAGAGGAACTTCAAAGTCAAATGCTAACAGGTGGGAATAGATACAAGGAGAGGTGGAGAATTAAAACTATTCATGCAGCCGGGCCTGGTGGCTCACGCGTATAATCCCAGCACTTTGGGAGGCCAAGGTGGGTGGATCACTTGAGGTCAGGAGTTCGAAACTAGCCTGACCAACATGGTGAAACCCCAACTCTACTAAAAATATAAAATTACCCAGGCATGGTGGCATACTCCTGTAATCCCAGCTACTTGGGAGGCTAAGGCCAGAGAATCACTTGAACCCAGGAGGCAGAGTTTGCAGTGAGCTGAGATCATGCCGTTGCACTCCAGCCTGGTCAATAAGAGTGACACTCCATCTCAAAAAACAAACAAACCAACAAAAAACTATTCATGCAATTTATCCCATATACTAAGATGTAAGTTATTTACAGCAGGTGTTATTTCCAGTAAACCAAGCCCATTGGAAGAATGGTGGATTTTTCAGGTATCATTAAATTTGGCTGAAAACCTCCCAGCTCTGCCTGTGATCTGCAATCTTGTCATTCCCAATTAGAACATTCTGGGCTGTGAAAAAACAGAATATTAAAAACTAGTAGAACTACCCAATTGTTTCCTGTCTTTTTGTTTTTAATTGAGATGTGGGCACCTGGGTGGTTTTGACCGAATTTCTTACTAGAAGAGGAAAACCTACTTCATAGCTTTATGTCAGGAACATGTATTAATAAATGCTGCTTGCCAATTATGGAAGACCAAACAAAATGGACAGGAAGAAAAGGGTGGGTAAGTTCACTAATAAACTTCATTCCGAACTTCCTTAAGCAAACCCATCTTCCCTTTCTTGTTGACAAAGCAAGCTAGAAAACTGACCTTTTGAAGTTAACCCTGTAGAAGTATGGGCACTCACCCTTAATTTCTACTGACCTATTCATTGGCTAATGGATATTAAGGTGTTTTGCCTGTCTGGTTGCCTCATTGATGTTGGACCTGTCAGGTGGGTGCCAGATCTAATTCTGATTCTGCATGACTTTCTGAGCAGTAACTGCTTAATTACTACTCATGGAGGCAGCCATAATGACTGGAACTCTATAGCTCAAATTCAGTGCTCACATACAAACAAAGTGCAAATTCAGGACTCAAACTCCACTTCCGATGTGAATAAAAATCATTTTGCTTAAGTAAGCCTATCTCCCTTTATTATACGTGCCAATACAGGGAGTTGTGTGCTGAGCCCCCTGTCATGGAATGTAGGAAGTCAAATATAGTTTTGGAAATGCAAATACATTTTTATTTGCTGATGGACATGTATTATTTATGAAGTCATTGGTTGTAAGTAATAGAAAATCCAATTTAAACCTTTTTGGTTCGTATACTGGAAAATCTCAGGGTATATGAGTTTCAGGGGAATTTGATCCAGGGGCTTGATAATTCAGTTTTTCTGTCTCACTAGACTCTAATATGTATAGTGAAGGCTCCATCTCAAGGCTGGTTCCCCTTATTTGAATCTAAGAGACAGTCCTTACGTTTGCAATGATTGGTCCACCCTGAACCAATCCCTGTGGTCAGAGGAAGGGATTGAGCTGATTGACTGAGACCTGGGCGACCTAAAGCCGTCACTGTGTCAAGAGGGATAGGATCAAATTTCATGGCTACCATTCAATGAGGAGAGGAAGAGAACCACAATAAGGGTGTCATGGAAGGCAGAACTCTGTCTCCAAATTAAGTATACGATTATTTTTGTCAATTGAAGTATAAAAGGTTCACAAATGACACTTGTATTTTCTGCCTGATTTCAAACAATTCCCTGGAATTGAAGGATTTATATGAAATTGTTGGTTCTTCTTGACAGCCTACCCACTTCCACCCCATATTTAATAAGAGACCAAAGTCAGAAATGGATTGTGCAGCTTATATACTGTGGTAACTAAAAACATATCCAATCTGTGTCCATAGCTTGTGTTGTTTAGAATACTTGGGCAGAGATAAAAGGGTCAAATGGCCTCTCATCTATCTGGCATAACTGTTCTACTTTAAGTCAAAGCTGAATATTTAAACCTCAGCAGCCATATCTCAAATGGTCAATTTAAGAAAAAACTTCAATTTCAAATTAACTTGTTCTTCAAAGGGTGTTTGATAACATTTATTTGCTTAAGCAACTAAAAACTTAGTCATATGGTTAGGACTCAAAGTAATGGGCTGGTGCAGCCGCGTAAGTTTATAAGCTCCACTTGTTCACATGTTTTTTGCATTAATTTGTGTCATCCTTAAAGCCAATATATTATCAAGCCTTTTACAACTGACGAAGTAGCATACTTCTTCCTCTTGGGGATATGAAAGCATGTTATAAACACTATTACCCTAGAATCCCTTGAGATTGTGCGTGTGTGTGCATGTGTGTGTGTGTATGCATATGTATGTACCATATGTGCCTCCTTATGAACAGATAATTGAGTGTCTACTATGTACAAGATATGTCATGCAAATCACCTTATTTAATTTGCAGAATCACCATATTTAATATAAGTCCCATTGTACAGATGATAAAACTGAGTCTTGGAGAGGCTAAATGATTTTTCCAGTAGTCACAGAGCTACTAAGTAGCAAAGCCTGAGTTGAACTCAAATCTGCCTGTGGTCACAGCTCATGATCTGATTCGCCAAATTTCACTGCCTCATTCCCTCTCTAGGACTTGAATTAAGTCACATTTCTCATTTTGCTTTTTAGGTTTGCCTCCTTCCCTGACCACCTCTCCTCTGCTGAATTCCATAGTCACTGACTCACTAAATATTGATTGAGTACCTCTTATATGCCAGATGCTGTTTTAGGTCTGGCTAGAGATGCAGCAATGAACAAACTAGACAAAAATCCCTACCCTCATGGAGCTTACAATTTGGAATTGGAATGGTTCAGTCAACTGTGCCTTGATCTCCCAGATTTCCATCCTAAATACCTTTTTCTTCTGATCATTCAATAAACTCAAGGCCTCTCCCCAAAATGTTGTCTGAAATATAACTCCATATGTCAAATTCCTAAGGATGGTGGCAATTTTCCTTTCTTCTTCTGATCGCAGACACTCTTTGCTGCCCCATTGCTTCAGCTTCAGAGAAGGTGGCCAATCTCTGCATTGACTGCTTGCCCAGTGACACCTGGATATATGGGCATTAAGGCATCCAGTGGGTCAAGAGATGGTAGTCGCAGGTCCAGTTTCCAGGAGAGCAGCTTCTGAGCCTGAGATGTGCAGGCAAGGAGTTTGTTGATAAGTGCTCTCAGGCACATACTGGGCAGAGAGAAATGCTGAACTGCTATGCACCCACCACAGAGGTCAATTCTACAGGGAGGCCTGGGGCTAGAATGGCCTTCAGAGATGTGCCCAACTGGTGTGAGAGGTTGATGCCTCTGTACTCCCACTTCAATCAGCTGTTAGATGTAGGCCGCCCTGGGAAGAGAGTGACTTTGGGGGAGGCAGCTCTCTCTAGCCATGGCAAATTCCCAGATAGGGTCTCACCTGAGTGTTGGACTTCAACACACCTAGAAGCTGGAGGAATGAATGCTTCGGTCCTAGAGTGGAGGTTCCAGGAAACACACCACAGTCTCCACTGCAAAGGGCTTCTTCACGTGTAAGCAGAGAGTGGCATCTCCTCCCTACCTTCCCTAGCTGGAACCTTCTTATGGGCTCCGCAGCTCTAGATATTACTTCAGCAAGGTTTTGAAGAAAATCAGAAATCCCAAAAACATGAAACACAAACTTCAGTACCCTTAGACTCACCAACACTACAGGAAAATTGGACAGAAAGCCTGTAAGGCTAAGCTGTAAGTTTGAGCTACCATTGATCAAATCTGCTACTTACCTATAACTGGCTTTTCCATTTTGGTAACACCAGAAACATTTATTTGACTGGATTTTGTTATTATTTAGTTCTTTTTGCTCTTAAGCACTATGATATTGTTTTGTTTAGTTATAATTAACACTTATTGGGCCAAACTAGGCATTGAACCTAAAGTTACACAGATTATCTCATTTTATCCTCATAATAATCCAATGAAATAGGTATCACTATTATCTCCACTTAACAGATGAGGATATTGTGAGGCACAGTGAGGTTAGGGAGCTTCCACAAGGTCACATTACTAAGTGACAGAGCTGATATGAGAACCCAAGTCTACCTGACATTGCTTGAGCTCTTACCCCTGTACTTCCCTGCTTCTCTCCCTTTCACAGGGTTGTCCTCGGTTTCCTTTAAATTTGGTATTAAGACTTACTCTCGGATCCTCCATGTTCCACTGACTTATTGATTGAATCATTAAAGAAATATACCATATTCTAGATAGTATCCAAGGCACTGGAGCTGCGATACACAAGACAGGGACATTTATTGCTCTCAAACATTCTCACAGGATGGTGTGAGGCATCAGAGAAGTAAACAGGCACTCACAAGACAGAGGGATACATGATAAGCTATGTGTCTTAATCCATTTTTGTTGCTATAAAGGAATACTTGAGGCTGGGTAACTTATAAAGAAAAGAGGTTTATTTGACTCACAGTTCTACAGGCTGTACAAGAAGCATGGTGCCAGCATCTGCTGTGGGCAGAAGCCTCAGGCTGCTTCCACTCATGGCAGAAGGCAAAGAGGAGACAGTGTGTCACATTGTGAGAGAGGGAGCGACAGAGAGGGGAGGGAGGTGCTAGGCTCTTTTCAACAATGAGTTCTGACTGGAACAAAGAATAAGGACTCACTCCCAGTGAGGATGGCATCAGACAGCCATTCATAAGGGGTCCATCCCCATGACCCAAACACCTCCCACCAGGCTCCACCTCCAACACTGGGAATCAAATTTCAACATGAGACTTGTGGGGTCAAATAAACTACACCCACGTTGTAGCAATATGGGAAGCCCAGAGTACTGTAGGTGCGCATAGGAGGGATTCCACTCAGTCATGGGGGTGGGAGAGATGGTCAGTGAGAGCTTCATGAAAAGGATATCTAAGCAGAATCCTAAAGCAATTATCCAGGTAAATGTGTATATGTATGTGTAGGGGTGGAATATGGGAAAAATGCTAACAAGCAACAGAATGCAAATGCTTGGAGGCAGACCCAAGAATCGAAAGAAATTGAGATGTCTGGGTCTCCTATTTGAGAGTTTGGGTATGGAAAGGATGTATTGAGTAGGGACCAGATCATGCAAGCTTTCCAAGCCACATTCTAAAGACTGAATTTTATCCTAAGATAATTGGGAAACCATTGAAGAGTGTTAAATAGGGTGATATTGTTAGATTTGCATTTTATTTTGTGAGTAAGTGGTTAGTTTTCTTTTTAACAGCTTCATTGTGGTATACTTTGCATAAAATAAACTGCACATATTTAAAGTGTACAATTTGATAAATGTTCACATATGTATATACCTCTGAAACATTCTTTTCCTGCTTCAGATTGCTAATACATTCTCACTTTAAGTTATATTTGTTGTTTATTTAAGCTCTTGCTCTATAAGTTCCAGTCAACGTTTGTTGTCTTTAGGAGACAGTTATATTACCCTGGGAAATCATGTTTCTGTTTTAATCTACCCTGCCTGGTAATGTGTTTTAAGCAGGAGCTGAATCCCTCCATGTGAGTTTAAGAACAGAGAAGGAATAAACCCCAGAGCTGGATGCTCCAGATACCACAGAATTCGATAGGCTACTATTTTTGGTACCACTCTGCCGGGCAACTCCTGTGGGCAATAGTCACCTAGATTAAAATCTGCCATCCCAGGGAGTTTGATGTGGAAGAGGTGGATGAGTGGATGTTAAATATCAGCTGGCCAGTCCTGTTTTCATCAACCCTCATCCCAACAGGGTTTTTGCAGTACATTTATGCACCCTGACAACACTAGCAGCCTGCGTTGATGCTGCCAGTTTCAATTGCAAAGGGACCAGCAAGGATTCATTTAAAGCCAGGCAGTGAAGAGGAAAAGGCAGAACCCAAAGGCTTTCCTCCACTATCCCCTCTGCCTGCTGCACATGCCCAGCTGTCTGCCCCAGCCTGCCACCGCTCATTCCTCACACTCCTACGCTAGACAGCCTTCTGTCTCTCCAGGGCATTCTCACCCTTTTGGGTGTCACTGATAATTTCCTCAGAGCTTTGATTGCATCTGCTTCTGGAGCTATCTGCAGTAAATTTAGGGGAAGGGAACCAGCAGCCCATTCTCGTATACCACCTTAACAGAAAGAGGAAGAGGCCTGAACATGTTCCTTATAGACACAATGCACCTCTGAGTCTACTTCCCCCATAAGAGTGGTAGGGAAGGCCGCCCACGGAGGCCTAGTCAAGAACCAGCACTTCTTACAGGAGAAGAAAAGATATTAAATGCTAGCCTTCCATTTTCCTCTCAAAGTAAACCTAAGTTAAATCTTTAAGGTAATGACTCAGAAACTCTGAAAAGCGTTTAATAATAGCTCTTGATGATTCATATGAATATTTTACTCTAAAGATGCTTATCTTGGAGGAATGTTGGTGTGAAACTTTCAATCCTAGGAAGTATGAGTACTTATTGTTTTGTGAAGTGATTATGATAATAGTAATTAATAACTGTGTTTCTCTATGCACTGCCAAAGAATTGGGCATTGCAAAAACACTCTAGAATAAAGTGATAAATAGATGGAGTAGCTAAAGACATTAATTAAGCTGCTTAAAATAAAGTACTGTTTCGTTCCTTTTTAACCCCAGTGTCTACAAACTTTACAAAAGAATCATTGAACTAATTGCTTGGGTAAATCCCAAGATTATAATTTGCAGAATTCTATTATTAGATAAAAATAAAACTCCAAGATTCTAAAATGCATTTGATATCAATGCTTAAGTTTGAGGCCAAACCTCTTCTAAATGATAGAGGGTTCTTCACCTGGCAATCTCGGCCTGGCCTGCTGCCAAGTGGCTGTGTGACCTAGGCCAAGTCACTTATCTCTCTGGGCCTCAGCTTCCTCATCCATTTCAGTTCACTGAAACAGACCTCTGGGCTAGTCCGCCATTCTCTTCACTGTCATGAAACCTATCCTTTCTGATATATTGCATGCTTTAGCAGACCCATCCCTGGAAAACTGTATGTAAAGACTGCTTTGGTATATCAAACTTAATTTTTCCCATGGGCTTAGGCCAGAGTTTTCTGAGGAGTGCCTCACACACTGGTGAACCACGAAAGTGACAGATGGCAGCATCATTGGTGCCCTCAGTTTTCAGGGTGGTTAGGCTGGAGTCCCCAGGACAACTCAGGATCTGAAGTAACCTCAGATACAAATACAATTTTTATGAGTGCTTGGATGTGAACATTTTTGGAAAGCCCTGTCTTCAGTTTATGAAGTAAGAGAAACACCCCCCACAGGAAGAGAAATTAAGAAGTCACAGAATGATACTTAAGATTTCAGCAAAACTTAAACAAACATGTGCAAACAAGCAGTACATTTAAATAAAAACTTTCAGATGAAATAGGGATAATCCTAAATATATGCTATAGTAATTCAGAAGAAAAGCCTATAAGAACCCTAGTAACTTTCATGGCAGATGTGGGAGAACTAGACAGGAGTTTTTCCCACTTATCTCTGAGTATGGCTGACATGAAAAAAGCTATCATGTTCCAAAAAACTTTTATAGAAACAAAGTCTACCTTTTTTTGTCCCTTTTATCACCTCATGGCACCTCTTTCTCTCCCTTTTAAAAATAGTCTGGTCCATTTCAGAGCACACAAGATGACTGGCTTTGGGTCTGGAGAGAGAAGGTCTTCTCTCAAATCCAATAACCAACAGTATAATACTGACAAGTTACTTTAAAGGAAGAAATAAAAATTCCTATAAAAATGTTTACCTTGTCCATTTCTAAATACAAATTTTGGGGTGACTTAAGATAAAAATAATAATTTTTTCAGCGTAATTATGGGATCTTCTTTTTCTTTGTTTCAAGTCATGCCAACCACAGAGATGATCTGAGAATGTGACATTTCACAGCATCAACATCCAGAGAGTTCATCTGATTCAACACTTTGATTTCAGATACAAAAACAAGGTTTCAGAGAGCTAGTTACCCCTAAAATGTATTTAATGAGTCCAGAATCCAGGTCTACTTAAAAATTTTACATTAGTTTCCCTTTCTCCCCAGCCTTTCCCTAGTTTAAATGGCATTTATTGTATATTTTAAAAATCTTTTGTTTTTGGCTGCCCAGCACATGAAGTTCATTTTTATTTGCAGGGAGCTCCCAACTTTTGGTCACCTTCCCAACAGAAGCTGAAAGTGTTAGAAGAGGGCTTGCTTACCTAGACTCCCTTGCAGCTAGGGCACAGACATGTGATCTATGCTCTGCCAATCTGATGCACCAGCAAAGACTTTTACTCTGGAATAGAAGGGAAGCAATTACTCTCAGACAACATTAGCACAGCGGCTTCCTCACCAGAACCAGTAATGAGATATCATTTGGGATCTGCCCTTTGGCCTTGAACTTGATCCTCCAGACACATCAACATTTTTGTGAGTCACAAGTATCTATTCAGTAAATTCTTTAGCCAGAATCTTCTATTCCTTGCAACTAAGACCCTTGACAAGTACAACCAATAATATTTCTATTTGTAAATCTTATCAAACACTTGCCATGTGCTAGGTATTGTTCTAAGCACTTACAAGTATACATTCATTTAATCCTCATGATAACTCCATGACATAGGTATCATGATTATGTCCGTTTTACTGGTGAGAAAACTGAGGCACAGTGAGGGAAATAATTTCAGATTAAGAAATGTTCTCAAAATTTTAAGCAATGACGAAGGAGGTCTAGGATTTGAACCAGGCTGTTTGGATCTAACTCTGAGCTCTTAATCACTACACATACTACTTCTCCCTAATTTTTTCTGATTACATAATTAGTAACTATAGAAATATTTAAACACTATAGAAGAGTAGAAGGAAGAAAATACAAATAAACCACACTCTATTGCTTATAGAAAACTATTGTCTACAATAGTTAAACTATTTAAGTTTAGCCAGTACAGTACAATTTACTTTCTTGGTCACACTAACCATATTCCAAGTGCTCAGCAGCTCAGGAGGCTCACGGCTACTGTTTTGGACAGTGCAGATGTAGCACATTTCTGTCATCTTAGAAAGTGTTAGTGGATGATGCTGGAGAGCCTGCTGGCATTCTCTCTTCATAGCCCTCTGTGGCTATGTACAGACACACACATAATTTTACATAAATGGTAAAAAGCTGTAGATAAAAGAAAATAAAGAAGAGCCCCACAATTAAAAACAGCTTTTAAAATATTTTTTCTCTTCCTTTGGCCTTTCCCCCTCTTCTCTCTAATAAACCAAGAGTGCATGACCCCTTCGATTCATAAAAGTTTTTCTCTAGGCTCTTACAACCATACAAAGTCACATATTCACATGCATAAGGCCTTGTTGTTGTTGATAAACACTTTTAGCCCACCTTCTTTTTTCACTTAATAAAACATTATGAAAATCATTCTAAGTTGGTCGGTACAAATCTAATTATCAGTGGCTGTGTGGAATTCCACGGTTCAGACATATGACAATATTTCCAATCTTCCCTTATTGATGTGCTTCTTTTCATTTTTTCTATCACAAGCAATGCCCAATAAACATTACTGGCCATAGATCCTTATAAACTAAAACTTCTATTTCTACAGGATTGATTCCCAGGAGTAGGATTGTTGGATTAAAAGGAATGCTTACATTTAATTTTAATAGCTATTGCCAAATTCTATCGAAGGGCTAGAATGATCTCCATGTCCTCCAGCAATGCATGAGTCTACTGTAATCTGCCCTCTCTTTTCCTCTTCTGTCTCCCCCTACTCCAGACACCCCCATCCTGGCCAGCACTGCATGCTATCACATCTTTTAATGACTCTCAGAATTATTAATGAATGTAACATCTGTGAACATTAGCATACCAAGGGTGGAACCGTGGGAGTAGCTGCCCAAGGTATAAACAATAAAACGTCACACTGTATGTAGAGGATACAAAAACAGTAATAAAACTGACTAAAAGTTGGTTTGCTTTTTATTATCACCAGACATTGGCCATGCTAAACAGTGTTATTGGTAACATATCCCTCCCCTCAAAAATCTTTCATTGGCCTAACTTCTAGGCAATTTCTGTGGTTACTGTTGAGTCTTAAGAATAGATAGAATACATATGTAAAGCTTCAAATCCCTGTTATGTACTTGGCCTCAAACATCCATGGACTCAGCTACACATGTTTGTTTCAAGAGTAAATTTATGAGGTTCTCAAAAATTCTCCCTAATTTCAGGTGTGGTTTACGTATGCAGCCATTGTGGTACCACACATTTTTGTGCTTAAACAGGAGATTTAAAATAAACCATGATAGCTGAACGCAATTTTTCTTTTTTGAGATTAAAAAAACCACAAAAATATTTCCAAACAGTTAGAATCAGTTTTGAATAATGTACTCTGAAGATACATTAGCACCAGGCTTTAAAATTGTTCCTTGAAGTTTGGTGCACAGAAATTGTGGAGAAGCCCACGAACAACGCAATAACCATGAAAAATAAGGAAATAAATAATTCCATAGAAAAACATAATCAAATGTTGAAGAAGAGTGCCAGGAAAAATGATAAAATGTGCTGGTCTTACAGTGCCAAGAAATCACAAGGGCAATATTTAAACACCTTGATTATTTTCACCAAGAACTAGACATTTACTCTACAGCAGAGGATCAAATCATGTCAGTGTTCACTATTCAATCATTTGTTAAGTTTTAGTAGAAGAGGAACCTTCAGAGATTTTCTAAAATGTAATAGAAACTTACAATGAGTTTTCTGGCAAAAATATTTTAGTGGAAGTGTTTCAACTGCAGAGACATTTGAAATCCACTGAGGTCAATCCTGAAGAAACAAAGATGTGAACAATGGTACAATTTCTGGAATTTATTGTGAAATGTGATTTTTATTAATCTCTAATTTATCTTTATGCTTAAGACTTTTCTAAAATTTATCTGTTGCTTTGTGTTAAAGAAACTTTCAGAATTAAAATTAATAATGGGTTTTTACTGAACTGTGAGTGAAGATAGGTGGAGAAATCTGGCTATTTCTTTAACATGAATATGCAAATGTTGACAAAATAACTGACATTTGCAGAAGTTAAAGCTCAAAATCAAGAAATGTAATGTTTTCAGAGGAAAATGGTAGATAGGATGCAGGACTAGCTTGCAGTTCTCACTCGGATAGACAGACCAGCATGTGGAGACCCACATCGTGAAATTTTGCTCCAAGAACCACCACAGGAATATACCAGGAAAGCCAAGAGAAGAGAATCCGCAAACCCTTTGAAGGAGGTGGATTGCCACTGCAGGCTCCATGGGACAGCCGAGGAACTCCAAGGACAAAGGACATAATCTCTTAGGAGCTCTGTGGCCCAGCACACCACCTGACCAAGGACAAGCTTGTATCCTCCCTATCCTACTGCAGCTGATGCACTCTTGAAAGCACCACCCAAAAAACCCTTCAAAAAATCAATGAATCCAGGAGCTGGTTTTTTGAAAGGATCAACAAAATTGATAGACCACTAGCAAGACTACTAAAGAAAAAAAGAGAGAAGAATCAAATAGACACAATAAAAAATGATAAAGGGGATATCACCACCGATCCCACAGAAATACAAACTACCATCAGAGAATACTACAAACACCTCTACACAAATAAACTAGAAAATCTAGAAGAAATGGATACATTCCTCGACACATACACTCTCCCAAGACTAAACGAGGAAGAAGTTGAATCTCTGAATAGACCAATAACAGGCTCTGAAATTGTGGCAATAATCAATAGTTTACCAACCAAAAAGAGTCCAGGACCAGATGGATTCACAGCCGAATTCTACCAGAGGTACAAGGAGGAACTGGTACCATTCCTTCTGAAACTATTCCAATCAATAGAAAAAGAGGGAATCCTCCCTAACTCATTTTATGAGGCCAGCATCATTCTGATACCAAAGCCGGGCAGAGACACAACCAAAAAAGAGAATTTTAGACCAATATCCTTGATGAACATTGATGCAAAAATCCTCAATAAAATACTGGCAAACCGAATCCAGCAGCACATCAAAAAGCTTATCCACCATGATCAAGTGGGCTTCATCCCTGGGATGCAAGGCTGGTTCAATATACGCAAATCAATAAATGTAATCCAGCATATAAACAGAGCCAAAGACAAAAACCACATGATTATCTCAATAGATGCAGAAAAAGCCTTTGACAAAATTCAACAACCCTTCATGCTAAAAACTCTCAATAAATTAGGTATTGATGGGACGTATTTCAAAATAATAAGAGCTATCTATGACAAACCCACAGCCAATATCATACTGAATGGGCAAAAACTGGAAGCATTCCCTTTGAAAACTGGCACAAGACAGGGATGCCCTCTCTCACCGCTCCTATTCAACATAGTGTTGGAAGTTCTGGCCAGGGCAATCAGGCAGGAGAAGGAAATAAAGGGTATTCAATTAGGAAAAGAGGAAGTCAAATTGTCCCTGTTTGCAGACGACATGATTGTTTATCTAGAAAACCCCATCGTCTCAGCCCAAAATCTCCTTAAGCTGATAAGCAACTTCAGCAAAGTCTCAGGATACAAAATCAATGTACAAAAATCACAAGCATTCTTATACACCAACAACAGACAAACAGAGAGCCAAATCATGAGTGAACTCCCATTCACAATTGCTTCAAAGAGAATAAAATACCTAGGAATCCAACTTACAAGGGATGTGAAGGACCTCTTCAAGGAGAACTACAAACCACTGCTCAAGGAAATAAAAGAGGACACAAACAAATGGAAGAACATTCCATGCTCATGGGTAGGAAGAATCAATATCGTGAAAATGGCCATACTGCCCAAGGTAATTTACAGATTCAATGCCATCCCCATCAAGCTACCAATGACTTTCTTCACAGAATTGGAAAAAACTACTTTAAAGTTCATATGGAACCAAAAAAGAGCCCGCATCGCCAAGTCAATCCTAAGCCAAAAGAACAAAGCGGGAGGCATCACACTACCTGACTTCAAACTATACTACAAGGCTACAGTAACCAAAACAGCATGGTACTGGTACCAAAACAGAGATATAGATCAATGGAACAGAACAGAGCCCTCAGAAATAATGCCACATATCTACAACTATCTGATCTTTGACAAACCTGAGAAAAACAAGCAATGGGGAAAGGATTCCCTATTTAATAAATGGTGCTGGGAAAACTGGCTAGCCATATGTAGAAAGCTGAAACTGGATCCCTTCCTTACACCTTATACAAAAATCAATTCAAGATGGATTAAAGATTTAAACGTTAGACCTAAAACCATAAAAACCCTAGAAGAAAACCTAGGCATTACCATTCAGGACATAGGCGTGGGCAAGGACTTCATGTCCAAAACACCAAAAGCAATGGCAACAAAAGCCAAAATTGACAAATGGGATCTAATTAAACTAAAGAGCTTCTGCACAGCAAAAGAAACTACCATCAGAGTGAACAGGCAACCTACAACATGGGAGAAAATTTTCGCAACCTACTCATCTGACAAAGGGCTAATATCCAGAATCTACAATGAACTCAAACAAATTTACAAGAAAAAAACAAACAACCCCATCAAAAAGTGGGCGAAGGACATGAACAGACACTTCTCAAAAGAAGACATTTATGCAGCCAAAAAACACATGAAGAAATGCTCATCATCACTGGCCATCAGAGAAATGCAAATCAAAACCACTATGAGATATCATCTCACACCAGTTAGAATGGCAATCATTAAAAAGTCAGGAAACAACAGGTGCTGGAGAGGATGTGGAGAAATAGGAACACTTTTACACTGTTGGTGGGACTGTAAACTAGTTCAACCATTGTGGAAGTCAGTGTGGCGATTCCTCAGGGATCTAGAACTAGAAATACCATTTGACCCAGCCATCCCATTACTGGGTACATACCCAAAGGACTATAAATCATGCTGCTATAAAGACACATGCACACGTATGTTTATTGCGGCACTATTCACAATAGCAAAGACTTGGAACCAACCCAAATGTCCAACAATGATAGACTGGATTAAGAAAATGTGGCACATATACACCATGGAATACTATGCAGCCATAAAAATTGATGAGTTCATGTCCTTTGTAGGGACATGGATGAAATTGGAAACCATCATTCTCAGTAAACTATCGCAAGAACAAAAAACCAAACACCGCATATTCTCACTCATAGGTGGGAATTGAACAATGAGATCACTTGGACACAGGAAGGGGAATATCACACTCTGGGGACTGTGGTGGGGTCGGGGGAGGGGGTAGGGATAGCATTGGGAGATATACCTAATGCTAGATGACACGTTAGTGGGTGCAGCGCACCAGCATGGCACATGTATACATATGTAACTAACCTGCACAATGTGCACATGTACACTAAAACTTAGAGTATAATAAAAAAAAAAATTAAAAAAACAAAACCAAAAAAAAAAAAAAAAAAAAAAAAAGAAAGCACCACCTCCTGGCTGGAGACCAGCCAACACAAGACCAGTGCACTTAAGAAAAATACAACCAAGGACCCTCACAGAGTCCACTTCACTCCCCTGTCACCTCTACTGGAGCAGGTGCTGGTATCCACGGCCGACAGACCAGAAGATGAGTCACATAAAAAAACTCCTTGTAGACACTCTCCAGTACCAGCCTGGAGCCTGGTAGTTCTGCTGAGTGGCTAGATCCAGAAGAGAAATAACAATCACTGCAGTTTGGCTCTCAGGAAGCCCCATCCCTAGGGGAAGGGGGAGAGGACCTCGTCAAGGGAGCACCCCTGTGGGGCAAAATAATCTGAACAGCAATCCTTGATTCTCAGATCTTCCCTCTGACCCAGTCTACCCAAATGAGAAGAAACCTGAAAAACAATTCTAGTAATATGATAAAACAAGGTTCTTTAACACCATCAAAAGATCACACTAGCTCACCAGCACTGGATCCAAACCAAGACAAAATCTCTGAATTGCTGGAGAAAAACTGCCAGGAAAAGAATTCACAAGGTCGATTATTAAGCTAATAAAGGAGGCACCAGAGAAAGGTGAAGTCTGACTTAAAGAAATAAAAAAAAAAATGCAGGATATGAATGGAAAAGTCTCCAGTGAAATAGACAGCATAAATAAAAAACAATCACAACTTCTGAAGATGAAGGACACACTTAGAGAAATGCAAAATGCACTGGAAAGTCTCAGCAATAGAATCAAACAAGTAGAAGGCTTTCAAATTAACCCAATCCAACAAAGACAAAGAAAAAATAATTTTTTAAAATGTACAAAGCCTCCAAGAGTTTGTAATCCCTGACAAGAAGGGATTACATTAAATTACCAAATCTAACAATAATTGGTGTTCCCAAGGAAGAAGAGAAATCTAAAAGTTTGGAAAACATATCTGAGGGAATAATTGAGGAAAACATCCCCGGCCTTGCTAGAGATTTAGAGATCCAAATCCAAGACACTCAAAGAACACCTGGGGAATTCATCACAAAAAAAATTACCGTCTCAGAACATAGTCATCAGATTATCTAAAGTTAAGACAAAGAAAAGAACCTTAAGAGCTGTGAGGCAAAAGCATCAGGTAACCTATAAAGGAAAATCTATCAGATTAACAGCAGATCTCTTAGCAGAAACCCTACAAGCTAGGAGGGATTGGGGTCTTATCTTTAGCCTCTTTAAACAAAATAATTATCAGCCAATAATTCTGTCTCCGGTGAAACTAAGCTTCATAAATGAGGGAAAGATACAGTCTTTTTCAGACAAGCAAGTGCTGAGAGAATTCACCACTACCAAGCCAGCACTACCAGAACTGCTAAAAGGAGCTCTAACAAATCCTCAAAATACACCAAAATATAATTTCCTTAAGGCACAATTCTGACAGGACCTATATAATAATGACATGATGAAAAAAAGCAGAAGATATTCAGGCAACAAATTGCACAATGAACAGAATAGTACCTCACATCTCAATACTAAGGTGAATGTAAATGGCCTAAATGCTCCACTTAAAAGATACAGAATGGCAGAAAGAATTCACCAACCAAGTATCTGCTGTCTTTAAGAGACTCACCTGACACAGAAGGACTCACATAAACTTAAGGTAAAGGGGTGGAAAAAGATATTCCATGCAAATGGAAACCAAAAGTGAGCAGGAGCAGCTATTCTTATATCAGACAATACAAACTTTAAAGCAACAGCAGTTAAAAAAAGACAAGGAGGGACATTATATAATGATAAAAGGACTAGTCCAACAGGAAAATATCACAATCCTAAATACATATGCACCTAACAGTGAAGCTCCCAAATTTATAAAATAATCACTCCTAGACCTAAGAAATGAGCAACACAATAATAGTGGGGGACTTCAATACTCCACTGACAGCACTAGACAGGTCATCAGGATAGAATGTCAACCAAGAAACAATGGACTTGAACTATACCTTAGAACAAATGAATTTAACAGATATTTACAGAACATTCTACCCAACAACTGCAAAATATACATTCTATTCATCAGCACATGGAACATTCTCCAAGACAGTCCATATAATAGGCCACCAAACAAGTATCAACAAATTTAAGAAAATCAAAATTATATCAAGTACTCTCTCAGACCACAGGGGAATAAAATTGGAAATCAACTCCAAACGGAACCCTCAAAACCATGCAAATACATGGAAATTAAATAACCTACTCCTGAATGATTGTTGGGTCAGCAATGAAATAAAGATAGAAATTAAAAAATTATTTGAACTGAACAATAATATTGACACAACCTATCAAAACCTCTGGGATACAGCAAAAGTGGTGCTAAGAGGAAAGTTCATAGCATTAAATGCCTATGTCAAAAAGTCTGAAAAACCACAAATACAAAATGTAAGGTCACACCTCAAGAAACTACAGAAACAAGAACAAATCAGACACAAACCCAGCAGAAGAAAAGAAATAGCAAAGATCAGAGCACAATTAAATGAAATTGAAACAAAAAAATTACAAAAGATAGATGAAACAAAAAGCTGGTTCTTTGAAAAGATAAATAAAATTGATAGACCATTCATGAGACTAAACAAAACAAAACAAAACAAAACAAAGAGAGAAGGTCCAAATAAGCTCAATTAGAAATGCAATGGGAGATATTACAACTGACACCACAGCAATACAAAAGATCACCCAAGCCTACTATAAGCACCTTTACGTGCATAAACTAGAAAACCTAGGGGAGATGGATAAATTCCTGGAAATATACAACCCTCCTAGATTAAACCAGGAAGAAATAGAAACTCTGAACAGACAAATAACAAGCAGCGAGATTGAAATGGTAATTTAAAAACTGCCAACACACATATACACCATGGAATACTATGCAGCCATAAAAAATGATGAGTTCATGTCCTTTGTAGGGACATGGATGAAATTGGAAATCATCATTCTCAGTAAACTATCGCAAGAACAAAAAACCAAACACCGCATATTCTCACTCATAGGTGGGAATTGAACAATGAGATCACATGGACACAGGAAGGGGAATATCACACTCTGGGGACTGTTGTGGGGTGGGGGGAGGGGGGAAGGATAGCATCGGGAGATATACCTAACGCTAGATGACGAGTTAGTGGGTGCAGCGCACCAGCATGGCACATGTATACATATGTAACTAACCTGTACAATGTGCACATGTACCCTAAAACTTAAAGTATAATAAAAAAATAAATAAATAAAAATAAAAATAAAAACTGCCAACAAAAAAAGTCCAGGACCAGATGGATTCACAGCTGAATTCTATCAGACATTCAAAGAAGAATTGGTACCAATCCTATTGACACTATTGCAAAAGATATAGAAAGAGGGAATCCTCCCTAAATCATTCTATGAAGCCAGTATCACCCTAATACCAAAACCAGGAAAGGACGTAACAAAAAAGAAAACTACAGACCAATATCCCTGATGAACATACATGCAAAAATCCTCAACAAAATACTAGCTAAGAGAATCCAACAATGTATCAAAAAGATAATCCACCATGATCAAGTGAGTTTCATACCAAGAATGCAGGGATGCTTTAACATATGCAACTCAAAAATGTGATACACCACATAAACAGAATTAAAAACAAAAACCTCATGATCGTCTCAATAGATGCAGAAAAAGCATTTGACAAAATCCAGCATTCCTTTATGATTAAAACCCTCAGCAAAATCAGCATACAAGGGACTTACCTCAATGTAATAAAACCATCTATGACAAGCCCACAGCCAACATTATATGGAATGGGGAAAGGATGAAGGCATTCCCCCGAGAACTGAAACAAGACAAAGATGCCCATTTTCACCACTTCTATTCAACATAATACTGTAAGTCCTAGCCAGAGCCATCAGACAAGAGAATTAGATAAAGGGCATCCAAATAGGTAAAGAGGAAGTCAAACTGTCATGTTTGCTGATGATATGATTATATACCAAGAAAACCCTAAAGACTCATCTAAAAATCTCCTTGAACTGGTAATGACTTCAGCAAAGTTTCAGGATATAAAATTAATGTGCACAAATCAGTAGCTCTGCTATACACCAAGAGTGACCAAGCTGAGAATCTGACCCCTTGAACTCAACCCTTTTTACAATGGCTGCAAAAAAATTAAAATACTTTGGAATATACTTAATCAAGGAAGTAGAAGACCTCTACAAGAAAAATCACAAAACCACTGAAAGAAATCATAGATGATACAAACAAATGGAAACATATCCCATGCTCATGGATGGGTAGAATCAATATTGTAAAAATGATCATATTGCCAAAAGCAATCTACAAATTCAATGCAATTTTCATCAAAATACCACCATCATTCTTCACAGAGCTACAAAAAAAATCCTAAAATTCACATGCAACCAAAAAAGAGCCCACATAGCCAAAGCAAGCCTAAGCAAAGGAACAAATCTGGAGGCATCACATTACCTGATTTCAAACTATACTATAGGGCTATTGTCACTGTTAATACCGAGTGTCAACTTGATTGGATTGAAGGATGCAAAGTATTCATTCTGGTTGTGTCTGTGATGGTGTTGCCAAAGGAGATTAACATTTGAGTCAGTGGGCTGGGAAAGGCAAACCCACCCTTAATATGGGTGGACACCATCTAATCAGCTACCAGCACAGCTAGAATATAAAGCAGGCAGAAAAACACGAAAAGACTAGGAGAGCCTAGCCTCCCAGCCTACATCTTCCTCCTGTGCTGGATGCTTCCTGCCCTCGAACATCGGACTCCAAGTTCTTCAGTTTTGGGACTGGGACTGGCTTTCCTTGCTCCTCAGCTTGCAAACGGCCTATTGTGGGACCTTGTGATCGTGTGAGTTAACACTTAATAAACTCCCCTTCAACCCCTCAGAGTTCTCTCTCTACATATATCCTATGAGTTCTGTCCCTCTAGAGAACTCTAACACAGTCACCAAAACAGTATGGTATTGATATAAAAATAGGCATACAGACCAATGGAACAGAATAGAGAACTCAGAAATAAAGCCAAATAACTTCCAGCTAACTGATCTTCGACAAAGCAAACAAAAACATAAAGTGGGGAAAGGACACCCTATTCAACAAACAGTGCTGGGATAACTGGCCAGCCACATGTAGAAGAATGAAACTGGATCCTCATCTCCCACCTTATATAAAAATCAACTCAAGATGGATCAGAGACTTAAATCTAAGACCTGAAACCATAAAAATTCTAGAAGATAACTTTGGAGAGACCCTTCTAGCCATTGGCTTAGATAAAGACGTCATGACCAACAACTCAAAAGCAAATGCAACAAAAACAAAGATAAAATAGATGGGACTTAATTAAACCAAAAAGCTTCTGCACAGCAAAAGAAATAATCAGCAGAGTTAACAGACAGCTTTTTCTCTCTCACATAGAGTGGGAGAAAAGCTTTGCAATCTATACATCTGACAAAGGACTAATATTCAGAATCTACGAGGACCTCAAACAAATTAGCAGGAACAAAACAGACAATCCCATCAAAAAGTGGGTTAAAGACATGAATAGACAATTCTCAAAAGAAGATATACCAATGGCCAACAAATATGAAAAAATGCTCAGCATCACTAATTATTATGAAAATGCAAATCAAAACCACAATGTGATACCATCTTACTCCTGCAAGAATGGCCATAATCAAAAAACAAAAAAAAATAGATGTTGGTGTGGATGTGGTGAAAAGGGAACACTTTGACACTGTTGGTGGGAATGTAAACTAGTACAACCACTATGGAAAACAGTGTGGAGATTCCTTAAAGAACTAAAAGCAGATCTACGGTTTGATCTAGCAATCCCACAACTGTGTATCTACCCAGAGGAAAAGAAGTCATTATACGAAAAAGATACTTGCATACAGATGTTTATAGCAGCACAATTCGTAATTGCAAAAATATGGAACCAGCCCAAATTCCCATCAATCAAGGAGTGGATCAAGAAAATGTGGTATATATACAATACATATATAATATACATACATACATACATATCATGGATACTACTCAGCCATAAAAAGGGATGAAATGATTGCATTTGCAGCAACCTGGATGGAACTGGAGACCATTTTTCTAAGTGAAGTAACTCAGGAATGGAAAACCAAACATCGTATGTTCTCACTCCTGTGTGGGAGCTAAGCTATGAGGACACAAAGACATAAGAATGATACAATAGACTTCGGAGACTTGGGGGAAAGAGTGGGAGGAGGGTGAGGGATAAAAGACTTCACATTGGGCTCAGTGTACACTGCTTGGATAATGAGTGCCAAATCTCAGAAATCACCACCAAAGAACTTATACATGTAACCAAACACGACCTGTTCCCCAAAAAACAACTGAAATATAAAAATATTTTTAAAATAGAAATATAATGTTTTCATTACTGAGATAAAGTTGGTAATTTTTTTCTTTTTTCAAAAATCAGATTGATATAATTTTAAAACAATAATTATTTTTCCTTTTTGTAATACAATATTTGTTTAATTTTTTTAATTTTTTGGCATAATTATACATATATAATACAATAATAGAAACATTCTCAGTCTGCATTTCTTTTCTTATCTTCATTATGATTAGTTTCATTCCATGATTATTACTGAAAATTTTTTTGCAGTATAGAGGAGGACAGGGTGTTATAAAACCAGTAAAAAGACACCCAAATGGTTTCAAACAGCTAGAATTGGCCTTGAACAGTGTAATCTGAAGCACTGAGCTTTAAAATTGTTCCTTGAAGGTTGGCGCACAGAAATTGTGACACTATTGGGCACATGTCAGCATGTATCAGCTCTAGAACTACCACGGACAGAAAGAGAAAAGTGGGTGACCAAAGGATCCATAAATGATTGAATGAACCATTTACAGTTTCACTGCACTAGCCATGTGCACTTAGACATGCATAGCTTAATCTTTCTGACAAGCCCATTTCTTTCATTTACATTTCCCTGACTACAGGAAAGCTGAGCATCTTTTCATGTTTTTGGACATCTGACTACCTGGTAGAATTCATTCAATCCTCTCTGGGATGGTGACACCCAGCCTGCTTGGATCAGGAATCTCTTTGAAAATATGATGAAGCCTATGGATTTGTTTCTGAGCAAACGGCCTACATTTTCATTGGTACAGACCCTCGCACCCAAGTTCAGGGGACTCAGAAACCACCCCTTCCTCATTCTACAGATACAGAAACTCAGGCCTATGATCTTGGACTAAAATAGAGCAAGCCCCACACCGTTTGAGACTTGTTTTTCTCATTTGCAGAAAAGAACAATCACACTTAACCTCATAGGATGAATGTAAGGATTAAATGAGTTAATGTCTGAGCATACAGTCTGGACAACAGAGTTTCTTAAAGTTTGAGTTGATTTCCAATATTTAAAAGTGAAAAGATCTCACACTTTTTGAAAAATCCACATTTTTTGGCTTCTCTTAGAAAGGCAGAAACCAGCAATCCTGTGCTCACCTTGTCAGGAGCTAGCAATGGGCTGGGCTGGGAAAACTGCTGTTTCCAGACGCAGGCTTGATTTGCAGATCCCCACTGTTCTCAGCTCTCCTCATGTTGCCTGGCAATAGTGTTGACCACTGTTTATTCTTTTCCAAGTAGAGGGGCTTTTACTTTATCTGCCAGGCCAGGAAGGTCTTTGGGCTGGGACTCCTGTGCATGACACTGGTCAAGTCAGTCACACGAAGGTGATAAGGCTAGAAAAGGATTGAGATGGTGCTATCTTTCTCTGGGAGATTTGCATTCTGTCATTTAAGGAAGAACCTTCCCATAATCCTGTCACCCTGATCATGAAAAATCCTAGTAATTATTTGAGAACTCTTTTTGCAATCTAGTCAAAGGACTAAAGGTGAAATTGCAGTTGCTTTTACCTCTAAACTGTTTGGCAATTCAGTCGATTTCTCTCTATCTCCACTGTCACAACCCTAGTTCAAGCCACCATCACCTGCCCAGATTCTCATGAGACCAAGAAAAAGCATTCAAATAACTTTTTGTGTCTTCATTTCCTTTAGATCATACTTGTTTTTAATAAACTCTCAAATTTTATACGTAATAAAGTCATAATTGCTGATTATTTTTCTGTTGCCTCTTTTTCATTTCAGGAATGCAAGGGGCATGAAGACAAATCATTGTACAGAAGGGGTGAGGGGTGAGGGTTTGGCTGAGCTACAGTGATATTTGTCAACAAATTAGTAACCTGAAGTCAAACATTGTGGGTACTAACTTCTCAGAGAAAAGGTTTGTATGAGCAGCAAGGAGAATACGAAGAGGAGCTTGGATAGGGATTTCCCAAAGTTTGGAGCTGATATTCTCTAAACACCAGTCTTGGGAATTATGAACTTGCAATTTTGAAATCCAACTACTGAAAAGCCCAGCTTAACCACCGTGAACAGAAAAGAAACTATGCAAAGCTGGCTGTCTTAGGAGCACACACATGGTTAGCAGGCTGACAGCATCCTCTGTCTTCTGTGCCTGCAAGGTAGCACATTCCTCTCCATGCATTTTCTTCTATTTTAATCAGGCAGCATACGGCCTTGGTAAACCCCCACAGGTATCTCTTCTCTTCTCTTTTTTCTCTCTCTCTTTCTTTCTTTTTTTTTGATGGAGTCTCACTCTGACACCCAGGCTGGAGTGCAGTGGCACCATCTCGGCTCACTGCAAGCTCCACCTCCCGGGTTCATGCCATTCTCCTCTTCGGTCTCCTGAGCAGCTGGGACTACAGGCACCCGCCACCACGCCCGGCTAATTTTTTTTTTTTTTTTTTTTGTATTTTTAATAGAGATGGGGTTTCACTGTGTTAGCCAGGATGGTCTCGATCTCCTGACCTCGTGATCTGCCCGCCTTGGCCTCCCAAAGTGCTGGGATTACAGGTGTGAGCCACTGCACCTGGCCACAGGTATCCCTTTCTGAGGCAAACTTCTGCAATGCCCAAGTCTTGTTTAGTGTCACTGGATGCTTAGCAACACTTTGATAAATAGGAATGTGCCAGTACTTCTTCAAGTGGGGTTCATACATATGACAGCATGCCCTGGGGTGCTGGCTGAAAATTCAAATAACCTAAGTCTCAGGCCAGACCTCCTAAATCAGAGTCTTCAAGGGTAGGTTTGGGGACCCTGTATTTTAAACCAATCAGATCCTGTATCCTCCACACTTAAAATCCTCCTATTGCTTCCCATTGTTTTTAGAAAACAACAACAACCCAAACTCTGCATGTTTCCATGTCCTATGAGGTCCTACATGGTCTAGACCCTGCCTGTTTATCTCCCATGAGGCTGCCCCTCCACCTCTGGGCTCATAACCCAAATGGCCTCTTGTCTGTCTGTCATGGCAAGCTCTCTTCTTCCGCAGGACCTTTGCACATGCTCTTACCCCTGCCAGAAATGATTTCTTCTTTCCATTTCACCTGGCTAACAACAAATCATCATTTAGTTAAGTCTCAACTCAGAAGCCTCCTGCTGGGTCATATCTCTCATTACTGCTTCTCATAATATTTGTCCCCTATTCACTGGCATGAATAAATTCCAGTAGCAAGATCTCAAAACTGCAATTAAAAAAAAATGTATCATAGCGGGAACACTTAACATGAGATCCACCCTCTTAACAAATGTTTTTAAAATGTACAATACAGTGCTGTTAATTCATACTATATACTTCTCAATGGTGGGCCAATGTCTATGTCTTCTTCCACTAAATCCACAAAGCTTAAATAATGCTTGGCAAATAGTAAGTGCTCAATTCATATTGAGTAAAATAAATGGTGTTTCCCAGTGTGATATCATCCAGTGTCATGACTTTAAGGCCCATCTACTAGTTGGTGACTCCTAAATTTATACCTTCAACTGTAACCTCAAAATGTCTAAAATTAAACTCTTGATCCAATGTTCACCATCTCAGAAAACGGTTTCATCATTCACCCAGTTGCTTAGGGTCCAAAACTTGTTGTCATCCTTAACCTTTCTCTCACCACATATTTGATCCATCAGCAACTCCTACAGCTTCCTTTTAAAATATTTTCAGAAACCCTCTGGTTCTCCCCTGCTCCCCTGCTACCAGGTGCAAATCATTACCACCTCTCAACAAAACTTACTTCTGTAGTCCTTTTTAGAGGGAAACGCTTGGGTTTGTGGAAATAAATGAAGACCACTCTAATGAAAATCAACAGAAACTATGTATTCAGAGTTGGCTATAGCAAGAGAGTTAGCCTCCATTCCTTTTGGTTGGCACAGACTCAAAGGCAAGCAATGCAGTGTGAATGATTTATAGTATGAAAAGGGAAGGCTTCATGTTTGCTAGATTGGAAGTTGTTGGTATGGGGAAGCAGGAAATGGGCTAACTAGAAGCAAGGCATCCTATGTGATTGGGCTGGGGAACATATTTGATTTTCTCTGGTTGGTCCTGAGTTGGAAGCTGGCCAAGTTGTGACCATTTTAGACCAATTGCTGCAGAGGTGGTTTGGCTTTCTGGACTGGTTGCTGCTGAGTTTGTGGATCAGAGTTCTATTTTTAAATGGTGTGGCCACCCTCTGTTTGTTTATTTCATCTCTCAGGTTGATGGGATCTTCTACGGCCACTTGGGTGTTCTCCCTTCAGTGGGTATCAGAGAATCTTTGCCATAAATTTTGGGCATGGGGTAGTGGACAGGTAAGGTCATGCTGAGGCATGTGGGTACTAATGCAGTAAGGCTAATAACTTAGTACCCTTTTAAATAGCCTTAAGATATACATTCAGATGATAGCTGGGGGATTGAGGGAGAGGTAAGGGCAGAGATGGGGAATGCTGGAGGCAGGGCTCAGTCTCACACTTAGTGTTCCCAAACAGTTCAGCTTTGGTCCTTAAGTCCTGAGTTTCCAGGGCCCACCTTCCTTAGAAGAAATCAAGTGTTTCTTGAGGGAGAGTGCAACAAAATGGCTACAAATTCCTCCCATCCCAATATGCATGCTCCTTTGCCACTCCTTCCACCAACAGGTGGAGTCTGTTTCCTCCCCCTCTGAATATGGGCTAGCTTTGTGACATGCTTTGACCAACATAAAATGGCAGAAGTGTTGTTTATCAACTGTTGAGACTGGGCTTTAAGAGACACTGCATGTTTTACTTGGTACAATGCCCAGAGAACAACATGTAAGAAAGACAGTCTGGCTCCAGGACTACAAGCAACCATGTGGAGAACTGAGATGCCCCAGCCAACAGCCACCACCAATTGTCAGACATGCAAAGGAAGCCATCTTGGCCTCAAAACCCAACCAAACCAGCTGATACAGCCACAAGAGTGAGCCCCAGTAAAACTAGAAGAGAAACTGTCCAGTCAAACCACAGAATCATGAGAAATAATGGATTATTGATGCTTTGAACCACTAAGTTTTGGGTGGTTTGTTATGTGACAAAAGACAATTTTAAAGCATTTCTAAAGTATACCCTTTGAGACTCAAACATCAAAGAAATATCAGAGTATTTCTTTCTATCATATTTTACCTTCTCTCTGAGAGGAGTTCTAGTAAATATGTTCTTCCTACCTAGATACATAGTTATTAGCTAGATGTACTGTCCAAGTGGCCCCAACCCTTAATCTAGTTGTAGGGAAATGATGGTAGGTCTAGTGTTCAAAAGAACTGCTTTGCTTCAGGAAACTCCCTCAGAATCACAGAATTGGTCCAGCTAGTCATTGTCTTCCCCAAGAAGGGGCAGATTCTACAGGCAGAAGAGTACAGACTTGGAAAAACTAGCTTCTCCTGGTGCAGAGAGTAAGGGCTCTCACCTACAGGGCATGCTTGACCGTGTGCTGGACTCTGAAGAGACAGGCCAACAAAGCCCCACTCTGCCTGAGGATTTCCCAGCCTTCTATGAGGAGTGTGGCTCCTTACTTGGTCCCTGCGGACTTCATTTTGGCCTCTTCTTTCCCCAAGGCTTACAAACTTCCCTGGGAAGGGAGGCTGCTGTCTATTTCCTTGTGTTCTAACTTCATCCAATCTCTGTGTGAGGAATCTGTGGTGGTTTCAAAGCATGTCTGCAAATTCTTTGACACTCCTTTTTGCAAGAGGTGGACTTTAGTTTCCCTCCCCTTGCATACAGGCCAACCTTAATGATTCATTTTTAATGAATAGAATGTAGCAAAAGTGATGCTGTGTGATTTTCAAGTTTAGATCATGAAAAGTGATAGAGCTTTTGCCTGGGTCTCTCTTTGGAACATGCACCTTTTGTTCTCTCAGCTGTCATGCAAGAAATAGGTCCACTCTGAAGCTGCTATACTGGGGGACCAGAGGCAGAGCCCATGTCGAGAGAGCACAGATGTCTGAGCAGCCCCAGCCGTTCCAGCTCCCAGCTACTTGAGTCTACCTAACCCAGGCATTGGACAAGTGGATGAAGAAGACTTTGAGATGACCCCAGCCCCAGCCACCATCTGAATACAAACAAATGCATGAGAGACCCCAAGTAAGAACCACCTAGCTGAGCTTAGTCAGACCTCAGACCTGTGAAAGATCTAATAATAGATGGCAGTTGCTGTTTACACTACTAAGTTTGGGCTACTTTGTTATACAGCAATAGATAACTGCTACAGAATCCTTGAGCACTGCTGAGATGAGGAAGGAACAAGCGAGAGGAGCTATGGAGACTGGCCACCATCTGTGTGGTACCTCACTGCCAGTTGTGTCTGCAGCTTTGCTGAGGGGCAGGTCACTCCACTGCCACTGACCTGGAAGGATCAGCCGGGGATTCTTCAAATGTAAATGTCATCAAAATATAATACTAAACTCATAATTAATACAAGAATACCCTTCAAATTATATATCCTAGGGAGGGAGAAATTTAAATGACATTTGGTTATATGTGGTTAAAATTCTAATTCAGTCAAAAATACTAGGTTTAGAGATAATTTTTTTCCTCCCCATGGAAACTATCTTATCTTTTCTTTCTTTGTGAATACAAGATTTTTCTGGAATTTCTACTAATTACAAAAATAAACCATGGTAAATTATGGGACCTTCAAGATTATTTAGTCCAACTCTCATTCTTACTGATAAGAAAACTGAGTCTCAGAAAAGTGAAGGAATGTCCCTGAGTTAATAGATGGCAAGCAGTGGTTAGAGTCTAGGATTTTAGACTTCCAGTCCAGTATGCATTTCAAATCATGAATACTTGCTTTATATATGTAACAAAACCTTATACAAGCACTTACGGGCCAACACTAAGTGCTGCACAAGTATTAACATATTTAATTCTCATGATGACCCTAGGAGGTACGTGCTACTCTTATTTGCCATTTATAGTGAAAAGAGACAACTGAGTACAGAGAGGTTAAGTAACTGGCCCAAAGTCAGTACCTCCTTTAGACTTGGACAACAGGAACCCTGGGCCCTAGGCTTTAGAGGGCCCCATTCTGGTCTCCTCTTGCCTATTGTTCCCTGTGGGATAAGGAATTAGTGGGGCCAAGATGCTTGCTTAACAGGAGGCTCTGTTCTACCTTCTAGACCACAGCCATGTACCCTAGAATTCCCTGCCCAAACAGCCCTGAGAACACTTCCAGGTCCTGTGCAGGATTTTCCTCCAGGGCTGGCCTCCGGAGTGTGGACCTCCCCTCACATGTGTGTACCCTAGGGCCAGAGGGATGGCCAAGGAGCAGCTATTTTGATTGTGAGGTTTGGGGGCAGCTTGAGTGTGTAGGATGGGGAGTCCTCACATGGTGAGGGAGGGAGCTGGGGGCAGAGTAGAAAGAGAGGGAAAATAGGAGGGCTGGCTCTTCCCTCACTGCCACCTAACACAAAACTCTGAAGAGCATTAGAATTCTAAGTTTAAAAAATGGCACTCCAGAGCCAAGTGCAATGGTGTGCACCTGTAGTCCCAGCTACTTGGGAAGCCTGAGACAAGAGGAACCATTGAGTCCAGCAATTCCAGTACAGCCTGGGCAACACAGTGACTCTGTCTCAAAAAAAAAAAAAAAAAAAAAAAAGGAGGTACTCCAGGTCATTATGAAGATATATTTGCCAAGGTTGAAGATAGAATAATTCTATGTGACAGTTTGCTAGAATAATCTATAACTTTTAAATGTTTGGATGTATACATGATAAGTCTTTATACTCTTATTCTGAGCCCCATAAATGTTAGCAGTGAGCAGTGGTATGCTGGTAGATGCTTAACAACCAGCTCTGGGGTTGGAGATAGTATGGAGGAAGCCCTGATTTGCAGTAGGTTTCCATGATGTGAACATACCTACTATGGCTGATTTCAATCCACCAAGAGAATATCACTGAGCAGAGAGTTGGGAGAAGATATGCACAATCAGCTCTCAGGAACCAGACAAGCCAGCTCTAGCAAATAATTCAGGGCCAGCCAATGCCACACAGCTAGCAAGTGGCAGAGGCAGAATTTGAACAAAGGCAGTTTGGTTTCAGAATCTGGACTTCTAATCGTTATGTTGCTTCCTAGCCTTCTCTTTCCTAGACCCACATTATTAGACCCTGTAAAGTATTGAGGATTGTTGTACTAATCTATACTTTGAGTCCTGGACTCTGGAGGGCCACGTCCTAGCATCAGCTGATGCTAATATAACCACAGACATAGAGAAGACTTTCTGCCAGAAGCAAGGTGGCCATATCTTCCCTCATTTTCAAAATATCTTGTCTATGCTGTGTTGTTCTTGACTTTTGAGTTTATTCCAGCTTCTGGGAACTCCTGCTTCCTAGCTCCTGCCTGCTTGCCTCGCCTTACCTCCCATCTCAACTTGATCACTTTTACTCATTTGTCCCTGTGGCCTGCCTGACCATGACCCACTGAGCATCTAACTGCTGAGACTGGACTGTAGTTCCAAGCTGGGGACATTAGGTGTTGGGTTTTTTTTTTAAAGGGTCAGTTATCTTTCTATTTAATAGGTACTCACTTGGGCAAGGGAACATATAAAATATTTTGACCGGCCGGGTGCAGTGGCTTATGTGTGTAATCCCAGCACTTTGGGAGGCTGAGGTGGGCAGATCATGAGGTCAGGAGTTTGAGACCAGCCTGACCAATATGGTGAAACCCCGGCTTTACTAAAAATACAAAAATTAGCTGGGCATGGTGGCGCACATCTGTAGCCTCAGCTGCTGGGGAGGCTGAGGCAGGAGAATCACTTGAACCCGGGAGGTGGAGATTGCAGTGAGCCAAGATGGTGCCACTGCACTCCAACCTGGGTGACAGAGCGAGACTCCATCTAAAAAAAAAAAAAAATTGACCATATGAAGGAATTCTACTTTTGAAAAAAATTGAGAACTACTCCTTTTTCTTGACCACTCAGCCTTTCTGAGTATTCTATGAGAAAATAAAATTCTAATGCCTAAAGCATCCATTAAGTATAATGAACTGGGATATTGGGATCCAGGGCTCTAATTTCCAAAGGTGCTACTTTTTTTTTCCCAGTTGTGACCCAAAGGCTGTCCTTGAAGTAAGAAAATTAATTCAAAGGATTTATGGCCAGTACAGTGGCTCACACCTGTAATTCCAGCACTTTGGGAGGCCAAGGCAGGTGGATCGCTTGAACACAGGAGTTTGAGACTAACCTGGGCAACATGGCAAAACCCTGTCTCTACAAAAAACCAAAAATTAGCTGGGTGTGGTGGTGCATGCCTATAGTCCCAGCTACTCGGGAGGCTGAGGTGGGAGGACTGCTTGAGCCTGAGACATCGAGGCTACAGTGAGCCATGATCATGCCACTGCACTCCAACCTGAGTGATAGAGTGAGACCATGTCTCAAAAAAAAAAAAAAAAGAAAAGAAAAGAAAGGACCAGGGAACCAGAGTGACACAACTATTTAGCCAGAAGACCCCAGTCCCAAATTCCATTAAATTCAACAATTCAACTGGTTCATGGTCCATGATAATCTCTAGATTTGATTCCTGGGATATATACTCTTTTTTCCCATATGTAGAGCAGTCACACTTACACCAGACAGCTATTTGGCTTTTTGGGAGTGAAAGATTTAATGAAAAGAATGCATCTGGGGTCTCAAGTAAAATCCACAAGCTTTTAGGAGAAACAAAAATGTAGACCATTGTGGATCAGATAATTTTTGAGGTCTTTCTGATGCAAATTACAAAATTCAGAGGCCCAGCATGGGATGTTCTGATAGTTTCAGCCTAAAGCTGAGCTAAGTGACATGCATGGGTTTTTGGAATATGTGCTATATTTTCACCAGTTTTGTAAAGACTGAGCAGATGTTTGGTGGCCCTAAAGATCTGTCTCCAATTGCTACTCTTCCCAGAGCAGTAGTTTTCAAAGTATGATCTTTGGACCAGCAGTATCAGCATCACATGGAAACTTGTTACAGTTGTAAATTCACCCCAGATCTGCTGAATTGGAAACTCTGGAGTATATTCCAGCAATCTGTGTTTTAAGAAGTCTCCTAGGTGATGCTGATATGGCTGAAGTTTGAGAACCACTGTTCCTGAGTATAACTACAAGTCTGAATGTGCCTCTAAGAACACTGGAACCACGGAGAGATAAGAAGCATGCTAGAGATGGGGGAGGGAGACGAAGGGAAGTGGTAGAGGACTAGCAGCTTGGTGCATAAATTAATGGCCTGTAGCATTTCTCCAGGTGTAATTATCCACTCTGAACTGACAATCAGCCATCTACCAGTAGAGCAGCATATTGGTGGTTAAATTTTGTCACCAATTAAAATGTCTCATGACCCACTGGGTTCCCAAATCTGTGTTCCATTCTGGTTTCCATTCCAGAGGTGATCAGATGGCTTCCTGTGATTGCTTTTCAAGCACCCCTTGGAGAGGGATATGAACCTCCCTCCTCTCTTTCCTTATTTGCATGTAGAATATCTTTTTAACAAGGATGATTCAAATTTCTAGCATTCGGCCTTTCCTCCTCCCTCTGCTTCCCAGCACAGTAAATAGCATGCTAAATAGAGCTCAGAGGGAGCACATTAAATGCATAGAGAAGTAATACCATAAAGGCAAGCAGAAGTCTCAACCAGCCTCATCTTGCTTGTAATTGATAAACCTTTTTTTTGTTTGTTTTTTTGTTTTTTTGGTTTTTTTTTTTGAGATGGAGTCTCACTCTGTTGCCCAGGCTGGAGTGCAGTGGCACGATCTCAGCTCACTGCAAGCTCAGCCTCCCGGGTTCACGCCGTTTTCCTGCCTCAGCCTCCCAAGCAGCTGGGACTACATACGCCCGCCACCAGGCCTGGCTAATATTTTTTTGTATTTTTAGGAAAGACGGGGTTTCACCGTATTAGCTAGGATGGTCTCGATCTCCTGACCTCATGATCTACCTGCCTCAGCCTCCCAAAGTGCTGGGATTACAGGCGTGAGCCACCGCACCCAGCCACATTATACAATCTTAAAAAAAAAATGCAGACGTCTAGTTTCCTTTATGGCCAAACATTAGTGACTCCTGAGATCCATCAATATATTCCAAAACCATAATGCTAAATCTAGTACTGTGATGGAACCCTGCAGTGTCAAGAGTATAATCAGAAAAAAAAATTCATCCTTGGACACACAGAGAGACAGTGGGAGAATGGGACTTGTTTTTTCTCTTTAACTGGAGTACATACATGGAATTGCTTGGCCGGGAGCTCCTCCAGTATTATAGCACAAGCTGTAGGTGTCTCACCTACATTCCCTGAGCACACTGATAGTTGCATGCTGCAAACACCATTGACTCTCAGCTTGAGGGTTTTTGCCTGGCCAAGGGAGTATGCTTGGTCTGTGTGCAGGGTGAGCTAGAAGTTTCAGGAGATAACATCCCTAGAAGCAACACTCACCCAATTGGTAGATAAATACCCCCTCAGAGTCCTCACCTGTTGGTTGGGACAGCTCTGAAGAGGGTCTTGCACTACCCCCTAGATCACCCCAATAGGACTTAGCTCCTGTTGCTCACAGTGGGAATTGGCTTAATAACATATCCTTTATTGCCTCTTTCTTTTCCTTGACTCACTCTCCTACTCCTTTGCTGGTATTTTCTTGGATAACCTCTTAAATAAACTACTTGTACTTGAATCCTTGTCTTCTGAGGTAAGTCCCATTAAGACAAGGATGACAAGAAAATATTTAAGGTGACACACACAATAAGGGTAAGGAATAGCTTTCATTCTTTCTTAAAAACAAAAAGCAAACCATTACATTTAGGTAAATGGTATAATGAATCAACCAATTTGCTCATTCATTCATTTGTTATCAACTTTTATTGGGTACCTACTGTATGCATAATACTGGGCTAGACACTGTCCTCAAAGAATTTAAAGTGTTTAAATCTAGTTTTGACTATAAGACCAACATGAAATGTGATTGAAGGATATTCAAATCAAAGGACTGTGGGAGTAGAGAAGAAAGAATATCTGCTGGTGGTCATGGGGTATTTGATAAAAGCTTTGCAAGGTGGACGGAAGATTTAACCAGAGGCCATTCTATGCAGAGAAAACAATAAGAGTAATTGTGAGGAGGTGAGAGATTAAAAGGTATCTGGGGAGGTGAAGAATTCTGTGTGCCTGGAGCCCAGGGTAGATGTACAGAGGCTGGGTTATGATGGTAAGAGGGCTTGAATACCAACCATCTTGAATCCAGAGGAAGGGGCTATTGTAGTGTTTTGAGCAAGGGAGTGATATAGTCAGAGCTGGGCACTGGGAAGCTTAATCTGGTTGTACAGTATAAACTGGGTGGGAAGATTGGGCTATGGAGGCACATTACAAAAGTGATGGAATATTTATAGTGTAGGTGTTAAAGAATACTTTTCAAAACATTATATAAATGACTTTCATACAAGTATAAAATGAAGATGTCAAAGATTAGGACTCTCAAATTGAACTTGGGAAAGTCTCTATTTTCTTTCCTACCCCAAAGCTTGGAAACAAAGACCAATAAACCTTTCCACCGTATTTGTCCTGGAGAACCTGTAAATTTGGTTAGTTCCTATCGTCTTGAAGTCTACCCAATTTTCTAAAGCTCCTGGCCTGCCAGGAAGTGATCTTTCTTAACACCTGTGAGGTTGATAACACATTAGCAAGGTAGCAGGCTGGTTTCTTAGGAGAGTTTTGTAGACATTGGCTCATATATAAATTCAAACCCTTAATACAGGGTTTGTTGTATGTGACTGGGCACAGAAATGGTTTCTAAGTATACTGATTGGATAATTCTTGTGCACTAAGCAATCAGTATACCTAGAAGCAATTTTTACACCCACTCAAATAAAACATACCTCAAAATCTTCCAGTGCATATGTGAAAGGAACTGGATAATTTGTTAACCACAATTCTGAAATCCTATATAACTTCACAATAAGGAGCACTAAAGATCGAAGAAACTTTTCAGAGCTATCAATAATGATAACAGGTCAGGCACAGTGGCTCAGGCCTGTATTCCCAGCACTTTGGGAGGTCAAGGCAAAATAATTGGTTGAGCTCAGGAGTCTGAAATCAGCGTGGGCAACATAGAAAGACCTCATCTCTACAAAAAATAAAAATAAAAAATTAGCCTGGTGTGGTGGCACACATCTGTAGTTCCAGCTACTGAGGAGGCTCTTGAGCCCAGGAGATCAAGCCTGCAGTGAGCTATTATCATGCCACTGCACTCCAGCCTGGGCAACTGAGCAAGACCTTGTCTCAAAAAAAAAAAAAAATTAAATAATGTTAACAGAAGCAAGATGGCCAAATACAACCCTCCAATGATCATCCCCCCCACAGGAATAACACATTGAACAACTATCCATACAAAAAAGCACCTCCATAAGAATCCCGAATCAGGTAAGTAATCAAAGTACCTGGTTTTAACATCATATCAAGGAAACAGGCACTGAAGAGAGTAGGAAAGACAGTCCTGAATTGCCAGCACCACCCCTCCTCCATCCCCTGGCAGTGGCCACGTGATGTGGAGGGGAAAATCTGTGTACTCGGGGGAGGGACAGGGCAGTGACTGTGGAACTTGCATTGAAACTCAGTGCTGCCCTACAATAGCGGAAAGCAACACAGGGCAGAACTCAGCTGGCACCCATGGAAGGAGCATTTAGATCAGCCTTTAGCCAGAGAGGAATCATCTCTTCCAGCAACTGGAAACTGAGTTCCAGCTAATCCCATCGCCACAGGCTAAAGCCTTCTGGGGTTCTAAATAAATTTGCAAGTATTCTAGACCACAAGGACTGCATATCCTAATCAAGTCCTGGTGTTACTGGGCTTTGAATCCAGTGGACTTGGGGTATACATGCCCTAGTGAGACACCAGATGGAGCAGCCAAGGAAGTGCTTGCATCATCCCTCCCCGAATCCCCCAACCCCAGGAGCACAGCTCAGAGCTGTGGGACAGACTCCTTCCTTCCACTTAAGGAGAAAAGAGGGGAGAGTAAGGAGGATGTTGTCTTGCAATGTGTATACCAGCGCAATCATGATATAACAGAAAACCATTCCAGGCCCTAGCTCCTGAATGACATTTCTAGGTATACCCTGGGCCAGAAGGGAACCCACTGCCTTGAAGGGAAGAACCCAGTCTTGGCAGGATTCATCACCTGCTGATTGAAGAAATCTGGGCCTTGAATAAACACCAGTGGTAGCCACGTAGTACTCTCTGTGGGCCTTAGGTGAGACCCAGTGCTGTGCTGGTTTCAGGGGAGACCCAACATAGTCTGACCTGTGGTGGCCGCAAGGAGAGACTTCTTCTGTTTGAGAAAAGGAGAGGGAAAAATAAGTGACATTTGTCTTGCAGCGTAGGTATCAGCTCGGCCCACAGTGGGGTAAGCACCAAACTGGCTCCTGAGGTACCCAATTCCAGGCCTTGGGTCTTGGACAACATTTCTGAACTTGTCCTGGGCCAGAGGGGAGCCTGTTTCCCTGAGAGGAGAGACCCAGGACGTGTAGCATTCACCGCAAGCTTATTGAAGAGCCTTCGTGCCTTGAGTAAACATCAGTGGTAGCCAAGCAGTACTCGCCATAGGCCTGAGGTGGTGGTGGCTGTGAAGAAAGACTCCTTCAGGTTGAGGAAATGAGAGAGAAGAGTGAGAAGGACTTTGTCTTGCAGCTTTGGTGCCAACTCAGCCACAGTAGAATAGAGCAGATTTCTAAGGTTCCTAACTCCAGGCCCTGGCTCCTGAACAGCATTTCTGGACCATTCCTGGGCTGGTGGGGAGCTTGCCACCCTGAAGGGAAAGACACAAACATCGCTGGATTTGCCACCTGCTGACTGAAGAGCTCGGGGCCTTGAGTGAACATCAGCAGTAGCCAGGCAGAGGTCACTGTGGGCTTTGGGTGAGACCCAGTGCTGCACTGGCTTCAGGTCTGATCCACTGCAGTCCCATTGGTGGGGGCCACAGGGGCACTTGTGTCACCCCTCCTCTAGTTCCAGGCAGCTCAACACAGAGAGAGACTCTGTTTGGGGGAAAGTAAGAGAAGAGAACAAGAGTCTCTGCGTGGTAATCCAGGGAATTCTCTTGAATCTTACCCCAGGCCACAAAGGCAGTACCTATAAAAGTCTGCAATAGTCACATTACTGGGCTTGGGATGTCCCCTAATGCAGATACAGCTACAGTGACAAAAGACTTAGATCACAATGCATAAGTTCCTGTGAATACTCGGAAAGATTTCTCAAGAAGGACGGGTATAAACAAGCCCAGACTGCAAAGACTACAATAAATACCTAACTCTTCAATGCCCAGACATCAAAGACTTCTCAAGAAGGACAGGGGCAAACAAGCCCAGACTGCAAAGACTACAATAAATACCTAACTCTTCAATGCCCAGACATCAGTGAACATCCACAAGCATTGACCATCCAGAAAAACATGACCTCACCAAACATACTAAATAAGGC